>NC_000001.11:209245193-209396708 GCF_000001405.40 Homo sapiens | reverse complement strand
CAAGCTCAGATTTCCACTTCTGTACTTGCTCACTGTATGACTTTGGGCCAGTTATGTAACCTCTTTGAGCCTCAGTTTCTTCATCAGTAAAATGGGAATAATAATTAGAAGAATGTCTATTAGATAGGGTTATTGTGAGGGTTAAATAAAATGGTGCATGTAAAAATGATTGGCTCAATAAATTCTAGCTATTGTTATTCTCTCAGCTCCTATCTGAACTCTTCAGTTAAGAATTGGGAGCCACTATCAACTGGCTCCTAGTACCTCGCCTAATTGTAACTGATATTCAGGGTGTACCAATAGTTAGGCTGTCTTGAGGACTCTGTCTCTTCATGCATTGCCATTTGCAATATCTTCTTATGGAGTAAGCGTGTAAATTAGCAAAGTTTGTTTTGGAGAAGGCTCCTCTATCTCCCATTCCTCATTTATTTTCCTTGGTGCACTGGCTCTCTTCTTGCACTGGTTGCCCTCCTGCTGACCCCTGGCCCCTCAAAGTTCCCCAAGGAACACCCAGGCACCCAGGCCCTTACCTCTTAATTAAGACAGAGCCAGGTCCTATACAGAGATGGGGATGTTTGCTTGGTTTTGACCCAGGAGTGGGTTTGTTTTTCTCTAATTAGTTGGAAAATCGAACTTGATCTGTGAAGAAGGCAGATTTACAACTTGAGTGGGTATATGACTGCCTGAGCTTTGTTGTAATAAAAGGTAAAATCACTCCTGTGGGGGATTGGGTGGGCATCGAGCTGGTTTCTAATGGCTGTTCTCATTTTCAGGTCCTGAGTGAAACCATCCAGAATGATCAAATAGTCCCTCCTAGTGAATAAGTTTGGGGAGCTGGAGAGGAAGATGATTGAAGTGTTTGCTTTTTCTTTCCTTTCACTGAGACATGATGATATTCCTCTATACACAGAAACTTGAACTATTTTGGCTAATTTTCAATGAAAGGTCACGTAGATGACATATCCTCAGGACAGATGGCTGCCAGTGTGGCCTCCACCCCACCCATGGGGAAAGATTATTTCTCTCCACCTTGTTTTCCAGCTTTCCTTTTGCTGCTGTTGATTTACTTTTGTTCTGTTTTGCTGCGCCATTCTCTCTGCTTCCCTTCTGCTCTCTGTGTCTTGCTACCTACTTATATATTTTCCTGTGTCTTTTCCTCACTCTTTCTTCCTCTCTTTCTCTTCCCTCCACATCCTCTTTGCCACTGCATCTCTTTCTTGCCTTATTTGCCTCCCTTCCCCTCGGGATCTTATTTTTGGCACTCCTCTACTTCCTTCTCTCCCTCTGATTCTGGTTCATAATAGCTTGAAAGAGCGTTTGATAACGTTTGCCTGACCCTGCCTGACACTGGGTGAGTGATTCTCCTCGGGCTGTGTTTGCTGTGGTCTGTGTGTGATTGATGAAAGCCGCTCAATTTGCTCTTCAAAGCTCTGTTTATGGAGAGCTTGGATGCATCTCCTCCGGATTTTACTTTTTTTTTTTTTTCCCTCCAGAAACAAGTCCGAATTATAGGATAAAACTGGAACACTTCCCATTTGTTCATCATCTTCACAGACCCCTTAAGGCTTTCAATAGAAGGACCAGATTGTACATGTCCACCTTTTAAAAAACTGTTCTTCTTCCTAGAGTCCTCATGTCAGAGATTTTAACCCACAAAAGAAGTTATTTGGGTGACCTTTAATTTGAATATGACCACTTTCAGCCCTAAAGAAGACATTTAGATTTGGACTCTGGGTACTAAAATGGAAGAAAAATGCTAATGCTATTAATACTAGAATCTGAGTACCTGTGGTATCCTGGCTACTCAGTACGAGTTCATCATGAAATGAAAGAAGTAAAATCAAAAGAATTGTCTGTATTTTCTGTTTCTGGAAAGAACAGTGGTTCAAGTTTTTCTTCCAGTATTAACTATACTGGATCCCACATGAGAAGATGAGACATATTTTTCACCTGGCTCAGGTTTCCTGTAGAGCTGTTCCTATTTTTCAACCCAAGAGAGGTCTTATGCACCTGCACTAGATGCTTTACACATTCAACTGCTTGAAAGAGGGACGGACTAAGTAACCTGCAGAAGTTCTTTCTAGTTCCTAGATTCTCTGATTCTGAGAATCTAATGCTTTAGGTATGATACAATGTATTGCAATGGAAGGATTACCGAGTTTCATGCTAGAATTCCTGAATTTAAATGCAGATTTGGGCAATTATGACTTAAATGATCTTCAGTAAAGTTTTACAAATAGTTTCAGGTTTTGTTCAATAGCTTTACTGAGGGATAATTTACATATCAAAAAATTCAGTCATTGTAAGGGTATAGTTCAATGATTTTTGGTAAATTTATAGTTGTGCAACTATCACCATAATCCAGTGTTATAACATTTTTCATAAAACTTTTGACCTATTTTTTCATCTTAAAATTAAACTTATGAGTGAATTGATTGCAAAAATGGCTGTAATTCTTAAACCTATTGTGGTATGAGTTGTTGCTCCTTGCATTGAGAGGTGGATTTGATTTCCCCAGCCCTTGAATCTGGGACTGGCCTTGTGACTTTCTTTAGCCAAAAAAGTGTGGTCCAAGTGACAGTGTGCCAGTTCTAAGCCTTGCATCAAAATGTCTTGCATGTTTCCATTTGCTCTTTCAAACCCTGCTCTCTTCACCATGAGTGTAAATATAGTCTGCTGGAAAATTAAAAAAAAAATCATGTGAGGAGAAGCCCCAATCATTCCAGCTGCTCTATGTTAGGCCATCTTAGATCAACTTCCCCCATCTGCCCTCCGGCTGACCGCAGATGCATGAACACCCCTCATGAAGATTGGCTGAGCCCAATGCAGATCAGCAGAATTGGCCAGCCAACATGTAGACCCACAAAAAAAAAAATAGAAGGTTATTGTTTTAATCTACTAAGCTTTTGGGTGGTTTATAAAATGTCATTATTGAGGCAATAAATAACTGATACAGGATGGCCATAGGGATCAACTTTTTTTAAAGCCATGAAAACATCTACCATTCTGCCTACGTTGCATAGTATGCCCTCACTACATTTAAAAAACATTAAATTTAATAAACATGTATAGAGGCCTTCATATATGAAAAGAACTTTGGAGTTGTGAGGGATGTGGAATTGAAACAGAAATGATATAAACCCTTGAGGAGTCAATTCCAGTGGGAAAAAAATAGATACTTACACAGAGAGCTATAATATAGGACAATCTGTCCATCTATTACAATATTTATGTTGAAGTGGTCCCTCCATTGTCTGCAAATAACCATGTTCTTCTTTTCTTGGTATTTCAGTTTGTTCCAAAATGTGTTCAAGGAATATGGTTTATTGAAAAACTCCCCAAACAGCACATTGACAGAAATTAAGTTTCATTGGTATGTCCAAGTACAGTGTTTGCATTTGTAGGAAATATTCTTTATGGCAGCTTGGCCATGTGAAATATGTTATGAGCCAGGGAAACAGAAAAGCAGACATGAATTTAGAGCCAGGGTTGGGAGGAGAATAAAAAGAGGAGAAAGAGAGGTGGGTGGGAAAGTCTTAATTTCTAAAATAAGCAGAAATTGTAATTTCAAGAATGCCTAAAGAATAGAACACTGCCTTAGCAGCTTGTTTGTGCTCAGCTCCAAAATATTCTAGAGGTTTAGGTGGCTGGGATTGGGCTGTGGAAGAGGAAGAAAGAGTGGGGGTTTTGGCAAACAGGACCTCAGGCAGCAGAAGTCTTGTGATTGGTTGATCTCAAGCATGTTCTCTGAATTCCTTCATCCTCTCCAGTAAGCAGCCCATCTGGGGAGTCTGAGAGCACAATACAGAGCCCTGGTTTGGAAGCCAGGGGCCCTATTTCTAGTCCTAGCTCTGACACTGAAGAACTATTGCTGTGTGACCATGGACAGGTCACTTTTCCTTTCTGAAGGCTGATCTAGGTGATTTCTAAGGGCTCTTCTGATTCAAATAGTCTGTAAGTTCAGGTCCGATTCACCCACCAAGTTAGAGGAGGCAATTAAAATCAGAGTGAACCAAAGTAGATAACAAGGCCTCTGACAACACAGGTGGACCTGTAAAAAATGGAGCTGTTCAGAAAACCAAGACACAGGTTAATGGGTAAGCCCCGCAGATGCGGACCCACCCTCCACTTCTCCACTGAATGTATGGAGTCTAACCATGCCTGTCCCAAGGACTCCAGAGGTCCTGGATGCTCCCTACCTGTGACCTGCCCACTGAGCCTATCGAGTGCATCCTCCCTCTCCTCCTAGAATGAGGATGTCAAAGGCTTTTCTTAAAATGAACTTGAGTTCTAATGAGTGGCTGTTTAAACAAGTCAAATATTCTTAGAGGTATGGTGGGAAGGGTAGGGGTGAGAAGGTGGGTCTTTTTTCCAAGTAGTGGAAATAACAGAAAGACAAAGAGTAAATAAAGAGAGCTCTCTGCAACAAGGAACTCCCTGAAGCTAAATGTAAACCAGCACTCCCAGGCTGACTAGGGTCTCTTTTAAGATGACAACTTAAAAGAACTTTTTAAGATGACAACTTAAAAACTTGATCTCAGGGCAGTTTTTGGGATACCTTTTGGGGAGACACAATCTTTGTCATCACCTAAAAAAACCCCTGGGAGGTGGTGAGGGAACAAGCAAGAAGTGGCAGAAGCCCCTGCCAGGGTCTGAGTCACCAGGAGTTGAGCCCCCATCCCCTGCTGGGAGGAATGAATTCCTGACTGCAAGTCTTCAAATCCTGTCCACCAGCATTTCTCCAAGGAGCCTATGCGAAATAGACAGATGTCCCACTATGAAGTTGTTTGGCTTCCAACCACGGGAAGGGCCTCTGAAGAGGAGGAGGCTCCTGTCTGCTGTTGATTAGGGTAGCAGTCAAGAGAGGCTGTGTGCATCCCCAGTGACCACTGCAAGGCTGTGATGCCAGAGGCCAGGCCCAGGGATCCTTCGTGAAATGTGTTTACATGAGGTTCCATTTTCACCTCAAAAAAGCAAATAGTACAGACTCTCCTCAACTTATGACGGGGTATGTTGAAAATATTATAGTTTGAAAATGCATTTAATACACCTCACCTGCTGAGCATCATCTCTTAGCCTAACGTATCTTAAACATACTTGAACAATGTTCGTGCAACAAACAAGGACATAGCCCGCAGTTGGGCAAAATCATCTAACGCAAAGCCCATTTTATAACGAAGTGTTGAATATCTCATGTAATTTATTGAATACTGAACTGAAAGTGAAAAACAGAATGGTAGGCGGATATTTGAAGTATGGTTTCTACTGAACACATGTTGCTTACGTGTCATTATAAAGTCAAAAAATTGTAAGTCAAACCATTATAAGTTGTGGACCGTCTGTACAAATAGCACTGTTCAGATCATTGTTTGTCTTCCATAGTGGCATGGCCTGGTCTGTGCATTCCTCTTTCTCCTTTTTCTGACACAGGTCACCCTCCAACACCCCCAATCCTCATCATTGGATCAAGGAAGCCCTGCAAGTCACTACAGTTTGCATCTACTTAGGAGCATAAAACATAAAAATAACTTTTTTTTTTTTGGCTCACAGATTTCATGGGCCAGGAATTTGAACAGGGCATGGCAGGGGCTGCTTACCTCTGCTCCACAACATCTGAGCCTCAACTAGGAAGACTCAAAGGCTGTGGGGAATTCAAGGCTGTGGGAGAGTGGGATCATGAAATGTTGATTAATTCACAAGTCAGTCAGGTGATGCTGGCTCTGGGGTAGGACTCAGCTGTGACCTTCAGCACTCTTACACATGGCTGCTCCAGACACCTGAGATTCCTTTCATTGTAGTTGTGGTTTCAGGGCAGTTGAATTTCTTACACCGTGGCTTGGGGTTCAGAACTCCAAGTGCAAATGTTCCAGAGAACAAGATGGAGGCTGCAAGGTCTTTTACCATTTGGCTTTGGAAGTCATGGAGCATTACTTCTGCCACATTCTTTTGATTACAAGTAAGTTAGAAGCTTGCTCAGATACAAGGGGAAATGCTATAGGCCTTCCCTCTCTCTCTGTCTCTTTCTCTTTTTTTTTTTTTTGAGACCAAGTCTCACTCTGTTGCCCAGGCTGGAGTGCAATGGTGTGATCTCAGCTCATTACAACCTCCACCTCCTGGGTTCAAGTGATTCTCCTGCCTCAGTGTCCTGAGTAGATGGGATTACAGGCATGCACCACCAAGCCTGGCTAATGTTTTGTATTTTTAATAGAGATGGGGTTTCACCACGTTGGCCAGGCTGGTCTCGAACCCCTGAATTCATGATCTACCCACCTCAGCCTCCCAAAGTGCTGGGATTACAGGCATGAGCCACTGTGCCCAGCTGGCCTTCCCTCTCTCTAAGGGGATTGTCATATAATTTGCAGACATGTGGTTTTTTTATTTAAGATTTTTTATTTTAATATAGTTTAGTTTTTAGGAAAGTTGTGGATTCACAGCTAAATTGAATGGAAAGTATAGAGATTTCCCCTCTACTCCCTGCCTTCACACATGCATGGCCTCCCCATTATCAACATCCCCCACAGAGGGGCCCATTTGTTACAACTGATAAACCTACACTGACACATCCTTATCACTCAACGTTCAGAGTTTACACTGGGGTTAATTCTTGGTATTGTACAGTCTATGGGTTTGGACAAAAGTATAATGACAGGTATCTACCATTATAGTATCATAAAAGTAGTTGACTGCCCTAAAAGCCCTCTGTGTTCTGCATATTTATATTTTAAAACCCTCACAGTAGCCCACATTGCCTAACCCAAACTAGGCCCCACCATCACTCTCTGTTCATTTCCCTGTAAGGAGCTCCCTCTCCTCCACCTCTCAGATCCTAGGAAATTTTGGAGACGAGCATGGGGAAGTTGCTAAAGTGCTTCTTGGTTCTTTGGCCAAGGTTGAGTTTAAAAGTAGCAGGTCTTCTGAGGGAAGTCCTCCTTTTCTTTGCTCTTCCCCCATCCTTGCCTCTCCACCCCACACTATGACTTGTGATTGCACCCATGCTCTGCTTTGCTTGACTCTTCGGTGGGTTCCCTGGAGTGGTTTCCTACCACCTTGTGTGTCCTTGCAGAATAAATTAAATGCTAAGGATCTGCACACAGGCTCAACACAGATCTCTTCCTTGGTAATACCTCCATGCCAAGCTCTTGACTCACCATTCTTAACTGAAATGGTTTCTCCTTCATGGTGTGACTTGGGGAGAAAGGCTGTCAAATATGTTCTAGAAACATCAGCCTGTCATGCCTAGGACGGCACCTGGCAGTAGGAACTTGCTTTCTTAATGATTGCTGAATAAATTAACCCTGGGTTAGATGTGCTCTGGATGACTCATGGGCTCTGATTCAACCTGATTCACCAGAGGATTTAGGGTCATTTGACCATGGAGAGCCCTGCATATCTCCAGAGGGAAATGAGCAGTGTGTGTGTGTTAAGGTGGTGGTGGGGAGTGTGGATGTGTGGTTTTGGGATAGGGGATGGGTGTGGATGGTCCTGTGGTATGATATGGTGGGTCAGGGCCAGCAGTAGTACTTGCCAACATGCTTATTACCTGGCCTTCTGGTAATGTGCCTCTGCTTCCACATCTCCAGAATTTGGAAACTTTACCAGACACGGTGAAGAAACCCTTCAAGGGTCAGGCCACTTGTTGAGTTTCCAGGAGGCTCAGATCAGTGCTGCTTCCTTTTTTCCTCCCCAAGGTGTCTGCATAAATCACCAGAAATTATCTGGAGAAGCTGACCTCACTTGAAGAGACCTACCTATAAAAGAGAATGTCTAGGTTTTTAGGGTCAATGGGAGAAATCATCAGAGTAACCACGTTATTAATATTCTGGCTAGAGATGCTGGATTCCCAGGAAAACTTATAAAAATGATTCACTCATGTGTTTCTCATTTACGAAAAGAGAGAAAAAAAGGAAGAAAGGAAGGAAGGAATAAAGGAGAAAACGAAAGGAAAGAAGGAAGGAAAAAAAGGGAAAAAAAGGACTTCCAGGCTCCCTTGCAGCAAGGGAGCGCTGGTTGGGACAATACATCCATGGAGGAAAGGGTCTGCACACTGACAGCAAGAGTCTTCATTGCTCTGAGCTTGCTGCTTTTGTGTTTTTTCTTCATTTCCTGTGCAAATCCACAGCCCTAGGTGAATTGACTCTGTGCCTATGTGTCAGCATTGTGGAAGGCCTTTACATATGTCACCTCTTCATATGAACAATATCTCTAAGAGACATGGATTGTTATTTCCAATTAATAGATGAGAAAACTGAGGCTCAGAGAAGTGAATTAAATTGCCCAGAACACACACCTAATAAGTGGATGAACCAGATTGTTTATTCATACAATAAACATACAAGGCCATGTAGTAAGCTATGGAGAGGAAAAAAGATGAATAACATGAGTTAGTTCTACAGAAGGTGTAGAGCCTAGGTGAGAAAGATGGGTAAATATGTAACAATATGGTAAAGTGCACAGGTAGAGCTACACAGAACGCCTTAGGGGGATGTATCAAGACAGGCATCTAATGCAAAGGGGGAGGTCAGTGGAGACTTCCTGGAGGAGGTGATGTTTGAGCTGAGTGTTAAGGACAAGTAGCAATTAGCTCAGTGAAGAGAGGCTGTGGACTGGGAGAGGACATTCCAGAAACATTAGGCACATGTTTTTGGAATGGAATGTGATAGGCACCAAGCCTACACATACCAAGAAAATATAGTCCTTTAACTGTCTTCTTTTAGCAAAGAAAACGGTAATTGGCAATACTCACTAAAAAGATAATTAAATAATATTTTAAATGGTAAGGCATGGAATGAAAATACAGCAAGATATATGGAACCATAAGCAGTTCTATGTTGCCCTATGGCTAGTCTTACTGGGGTTTATCTGAATTGAAAATACAAAAGCTCTTCCTACTGTGCTCCTTCTCCTCAACAAACTGATTTTGGCGGGCTTAGCACATGTAGGATTTTATGCAGACCTTGGGCTTCCATTTCTCATTCTTTAAGAGTCCCTTATGGAATTAGCAGAGCCTGGAAAGTTTTACTGGAACTAACTTCTATGTTGTAACTTAGGAGGGGCTCAGCCTTCAGAGTTCCCCCTGGGGTTAAAGGGGATCAGGAGGTAGCTGTCCCAAAGGCCCTTGGCTACCTGAGAGAAAGTCAATCTCTTTCACAAGGCTCCATGGCTGCCTCACAGCGTTTGGGAAAAAGTAGGCCAGAGATCACCAGGAAACAATGGCGCCTGGGTTCGCTGCCACAAGCAAGGTGTGATGAGTCAGAATGAAGAAACAGTTACACACACCAACAGGTCTAGTTGGCAACAGGTAAAGATATTACCTCAGTGAAAGTCCAGAGCTGAAAATGGGTAAGGTCTAACTGTCAGAGATCTGCTATGCTCCTTTTTTTAATGGCTATGATAGCAGTGGGGGTGGGGAGTTGGGGGTTGGGCGGTATACAATGCATGCATTTAAGTTTCCAGCCACTAAGTAAACAGATCCTGTTCCTAAAGGATACTCTTTACATGGGCCATACTGTTTTGAATTCCTTCCTTTAATACGTCTTCTCATGGGGTCACTTGGGGAGGACTGGAAGATGGAGACTCTTGGGGTCTGTCAGGAGATAGCTTATCCCACAACCCAGGCCTAATGCAAACAGGTGAAGTTTCTGCCCTGCTGGGAAGGATAACTTTGACCAGATTAAGGGGGCCCTTAAAAGAAATTCCTTCTTGTATTGGACCTGGAATCATAAAACTAGGAAGTGGAAGTGATTTTTGTCATTTTACAGGTTAGGAAACTGATTAGATAGGGAAGTGATTTGCCCAAGGTGGGAAGTAAATTCAACATATAACCAGGATAAAACCCATCTCTTGACTCCAAACCCAGTGCCTTGGCCTGCTTTCCTTGTTGCTGTTCTGCCCATTGTCACAAAGTTTAAAATACTATTTATTTATTTATATTTTTAATGAGTATTGACAATTACTTTTTTTTTTAACTAAAAGAAGACAGTTAAAGGACTATATCTCATTGGTATTTGTAGGCTTGATACCTATCACATTGTCTAATGCAGAATTGATACTAAAAACGTCCCTACAATATTTCTACCCTTGAATCTGCACATAGAGACCCCATTGGGAGCTGAGCCTTGGTGGATCATTTTGATTTAAGTGGGATCTTATGTCTAACAAATCTTTCTGTCCATTGTCTTGCCCAGCCCCTATTCAACTATAGCTATATTTTCAGGGTTATTTTTGCATTCATAATTCTTGACAAGAAAATCCTCCCATCTAATCTTCGCTTGATTTCTTTGTTTCAGGAGCTTATTTAGCATGTCTAATAGAGCAACAAGTCATGTCCTGTGGCTCCAGGCCTGGTATTCCATAGCATACCAAAATCAACAACAAACCTTTGCCTCCAACCTCACCCATGTCAAGGACAGAGATGAGGCTGCCCACTAGGGAGGTGGAATTTATAACCAAATGATCATGCTCTTTCTGGGTTTCTGCAGGGTTCCCCAGAGACGTAGCATTCTTGGGTTATGGGGTACAGAGAACTCTGAGATTAATTTTCAGTGATGCAAAGCCAGTGTAGAACTATGAAAAAATTGTTCCCTGAGGGTTACTGGAATATTGGTAAAATATTATTTCTTGCTGAAGGAGCACAGGAAACTTCACCCAAAATATAGCTCCCTGGTATAATGGGTATTTTAAATTAAAGGTCCTTTGAGATCAACAGATGCTGGAGGAGACTTTCCCCCTATCTACGTAAAGATCAGACGGACCCACCAAGGAGAACAATTGTTTTTCCCTCTCTACCCGCTTCTGTCTCTCAATCCTTTACTTCTATCATGGAGAAGGATGAAGCTGTTCTCTGAAATTCCCTTATCTGCCTAAGATCTACACCTACCAAAGACGAAAACAATTACTTCTGATCCCTTCTCTGAATTTTCATTAACTGAACTCATATCGCAGGAAGAAAAACTGAAGTCTGTCAACAAACATGGGCAGACTTTTATCACAAACTACTCTCTGCTCTGTGGGCCCAACAGACTTTCTCCCAGGCCATTGTATATTCTTCACAGCCATTGAATTGCCCTGAAAATTATTTACTAATGTCCCTAAAGTCATCCACAATGTCCCATCTCTCTTTCCCTCAAGAAGTAGGTATACAAGCATCTGTAACCCACTGGGATATTGGGAAATCACCCTGTGATTCTCGCATGAATGTGAACAAATATCTATGCCTTTTCTCTTATTAATCTGCCTTTCATGAGTTGATTTTTCAGTGAAACTTCCAGTGGCAAAGGGAAAACTACATAGCTATTTAATTTATTCACCTGGGATAGAAAAGGCAATCCTAGCAGATGATTTAGGTCAGTGGTATCCAATCTTTTTAGTCAGGAGAGCACATTTGAATCTGAAAACATGTATAGTCATGTAGATAAAAATACATTTAGGAATGCATTGGTAGAGCAAATGCTTAATAGCAGACAGAGACTACTACCTTTAAAGGAATTTGAGTTCTATTAATCATAACCTTATCTATATAATATTCCAAATCTGAGTTATTGCTTTCACTCTGTGTTTCTGCAGCTCTCTCTGCCTGTTTTTACCACTGGACAGGAAGCTCCATGAAGGCAGAGTCAGTTTGACTTATTCCCTGTCTATTATATGCTCAGCACCTACCACAGTTTCTGGCACAAAGCAGTACTGTATTTGTAGAATGAATGAATAAAACCATTAGAAGTATTATAATATATGTGTGTGAATCATGCTATTTGGTCAACCTATAAGCACTGATTCATGCAAATATGGTGCTCCTGTGGGATCTCAGGGTCCACAGATTAGAAACCATGCATTTAGATTTATGTCTTTGTGCCCAATATTTTGTTCCATTTTCCTCATAGGGAGCTTACGAGTCAGTAGATCACAAACATTGGTCTCTGGATTTAGAGACAAACAATGACTAAAGCCAGGAGCTTGAACCAGGTGATCTCCCAAGGTTCTTCCCAAAATGAACAGTCCATGAGGACACAGTGCCTACCTTAAAGAAGGCCGAACCTTCCTGACACCCACGGGGACAGGGATGTTGATGACAGGTTCTCTCAAGAGCCAGCTTCTAACATTTGCAGGAGCAATAAGTAAGCTAATATCTGGCAGCCTCTAGGCAGTCTAGTTGCTATTTCAACCCCAAATGGGCCTGCAAAGGTACTTTGCCTGTTTCCTCTGTCAACCTATTTGTGCAGAGTGTTGATAACTGAAGTGACACACAGTAAATACTCTTTGTCTTGTAAGACATTTGCTGGCAGTGGAGATGAGGAGGGAAATGCAGGAGTTGAAAGAAAGAATGCTTAGCTTAGATTAAACTGTGTGCATGTATATGTGCCTCTCAGTGTGTGTGTTCACATTTAAATGCTGACCTCTCTCTTCCCTCTTCACACAACAGCTCCTTCTCTTGATTCTCCCGCGCTCTAATTTCTGCACTCTTCAAACAAAGATAGAATGGCATTCCAGGTGTGAACAAATCAGGGAGGTTTCCTGTTTAAGATTCAGAAATTCATAGCCCTGAGGAAGTGAGTAAAAGAGAGAAAGGGAGAGAGAAAGAGGGATGAAAACCAGAATCTCCGCCACCTGCTATTTAGTGATTAGCTTCCAGATAAGGAAGGCAAAGATGCATTCCAGGAGCTTGGGACTTGCCCAGACAGAACTCAGAGCAAAGGAGGGCTTAGAGAAAGGTGAAGCCAGAAATTACAGGAGGAGGCTGGGCTACTGAAAGTACCATCTATCAATTTTCTCTCCAAGCTCCTTCATTTCATGGAGCTCTTAAAAATGTCGGTTCCTCACTTCACCCTCTTATTGATCCTACCTCACCTGGTTTGGTTTATGTAAAAGATTCTTGTAAAGACTAGCTCTTCCACTAGCCATGTAACCCTGGGCAAACCACTTACCTTCTTAGATACAGTCCTAGTGGCTGCTGTCTCATGTGTTTAAATAGCTTCATCCAAACCCCTATGAAAAGAAGCCAATGACAACAACACACACACAAACAAAAAATACCGTAATTCCGGGCAGAAGCCCTGATGTGAGTTTGCAGGTGAGCAGCCTCTGCTCTAGTTCTTACTTGCATATATGCCAGGCCATTTGACTCACCCACAATGAAAAGCAAGTGCTTATTCATTCACTTATAGAGGAGCAGGCTGCTCAATTGTGGTGTTTTCCCTTCTCAGTAGAAAGGAGCGAAAATAATGTCTGCACAGCCTGTCCTTCTGTTAAATGCGCTACTGGAAAGGAGTCCCTATCCAGACCCCAAGAGAGGGTTCTTGGGTTTCGCGCAAGAAAGAATTTAGGGCAAGTCCGTGGTGCAAAGTGAAAGTAAGTTTATTAAGAAAGTAAAGGGATAAAGAATGGCTACTCTGTAAACAGAGCAGCCCTGAGGGCTATTGGTTGCCCATTTTTATGGTTATTTCTTGATGATATGCTAAACAAGGGGTGGATTATTAATCCCTCCCCTTTTTAGACCATACAGGGTAACTTCTTGACATTGCTATGGCATTTGTAAACTGTCATGGCGCTGGTGGCAGTGCAGCAGTGAGCATGACCAGAGGTCACTCTCACGGCCATCTTGGTTTTGGTGGTTTTTGGCTGGCTCCTTTACTGCAACCTGCAACCTGTTTTATCAGCAAGGTCTTGATGGCCTGTACCTTGTGCCAACCTCCTATCTCATCCTGTGACTTAGAATGCCTTAACCTGTCTGGGAATGCAGCCCAGCAAGTTTCAGCCTTATTTTACCCAGCTCCTATTCAAGATGGAGTTGCTCTGGTTTTCACACCTCTGACACTTCTGCATGTGGCACCTGTGGCTGCAAACATGACCCCAGATTCTGAGCAGAGGGGCAGGAGGCTGTGTACTTTTCAGGGTTGTATGGCCTCTTCCCTCATTAGCCTTTCTTGCTCTCTTTGTTCTTATGACTGAGAATGTCTTGTCCTTGACAACCACGATGTGTTCAATTTTTTTCAACACAATGAGGTCAGCACATTGCCTTCTAGCCTCTAGAGCAGGTAAAAGCCATCAAGCCTTGACAGATACAAGATCAAATTACTAATTCACTCTGATTATCATTTTGCATTGTCTCCTATAAAAAAATCAATGTGGAGCCATGAACAATTATGCTAGGGTAGAAAATAAATACACTGCTGATTAAAAACTGGAAGTCACTAGCTTTGAAATTTCTCCAAAAATAGAGCCCCAGATGTCATGTAAACTGCAATCAAAATGGGCTGTAAAACTCAAACTGTAGACATTGCCTTGTAAAGCGTTCACAGATGTAGCAGCAGAAGAAATTCTCGTAGCTTAGAAAAGCAAAACTTCTGCTTTTTTTTTCTTTCTGTCTGTCTCTTTGTTTTTGAGGGGGATGGTAGACAGGATGAACACCAAACTGTTCATTTCAATATGTAATTTGCCTCAAAGAATTCTGACTTAATATATTTTCTCACCAACCTAAATCCAATTCAAAAAAACATTTATTGAAACCCGAACAATCTACTTTTGGTTGACAAGTGCTAATAGGTGCAATGTTACCCCTGTCAACTTATAAGATCACCTACTGAGCTTGGAGTCAAACAGGAAAAAGGAAATTAAACTGGAGTTTGAATTTGTATCTTCTAAATTCTCAGTCATAGCTGAATGTGTATAGTGCTCAATGAGAAACAAATTGTATTGCTGGCTTTTCTTTATTTAAAAAAGAAAAACAACTGAAATTAAAGCTGGAACATGTTCACATCTTAATCTTGGATCTACCTCTAATGCAGATGAGATATATCTGTATGAAAAAACAAATGAGGCTGGGCTCGGTGGCTCAGGCCTGTAATCCCAGCACTTTGGGAGACTGAGGCAGGTGGATTACTTGAGGTCAGGAGTCTGAGATCAGTCTGACCAACATGGAGAAACTCCGCCTCTACTAAAAATACAAAATTAGCTAGGTATGGTTGCGCACTCCTGTAATCTCAGCTACTCAGGAAGCTGAGGCAGGAGAATCGCTTGAACCTGGGAGGCAGAGGTTGCAGTGAGCTGAGATTGTGCCATTGCACTCCAGCCTGGGCAACAAGAGAGAAACTCCGTCTCAAAAAAAAAAAAAAAAAAAAAGAAAAAGAAAAAACAAATGACATCAGAGAATCTTTTTCAACACCTCTTTGCTAGTTCTTGGATTAACCATGTATTTCCAGTGAAAAATAACAAATAAAATTGGTTTTTGACCCTGTTTTATTTTTCTCCAGAGACCAGCCCTCTGCTCTCTTGAGTTCCATAGATAGGTGGATTTCCCTGAGAAACTTAACAACACCATGTCATTTTTAGTTTAAGAGCTTTTGTTGGGAGTATCTAATAGGTAGTAGGCAATAGCAGAGTGTGAGTGAGTGTATATGGGTGTGTACACTCCCTTATGTGTACGTGTGTATTATCAAAGATGATGTACCACTACTGGATCAAAATTCCATACCACCTTTTGGATAAATCAGACAATGTAGTCAAATAGTTAGTCCAACATTATCTCCTTTTCACTCTTGCTTTGTAGTTAACTAGGAAAATGTGGCCATTAATTGTTAACATTCTAGGCCTCATTGGCCAACAGAATTCATATCAAAGATCGTCTCCTTCCTTCCTCTCTGTGCAGACAACTTCTGCTATACCTGTAAGGCACAACCAGAGTTCAATTGCTTTTCAATTCACTCATTCATTCTCATATACAGTAAGAAATAATGAAGTAGCAACCCTGTACCAGGCAGTACTCTAGGAGCCAGAGATACTACAGAGAATAAGACAGAGAGGCTCCTAACCTCATGTGGCTTACATTCTGGTGGGAGAAGACAACCAATAAACAAAATAATCAGAAATAGGTCTTACATCTTAGGTCTCAATAATTTTCATGGAGACTGAAAAAGCAAAGAGACATGATAATCAATGGATTTGCATATGTGGGGAGCTCTTTGGGTGGGGATATTAGAGAAGCACTCTCAGAGAAGGTGATGTGTGAAGACAGCCAGGCAGTAAGGGTGGGGTGACATGCACACTGTTGCACCCAGAAAAAATAGTAAAGAGCTAGCAGCTCTCAAGGACAAGTTTTGCATACTCAAGTGAGCTGGTCCCACACTACATTGCTAAAGAGGAGATTTTCTTTTCTTGACTCATTTGTAAACCAAGTAGGAAGTTGCACTCTGAAAGGGATGAATGTGAGGATCTGGGGCACTTTATTAAGGAAAACTGAAGCGTTGCTCTTAGATATGAGGAATTTGCTGGAGAAGTTGAAAAACTTAAGGGCTCTGGTCCCACCTTTGCCAATAGCAGGTTATGTACCATTGGGAAGTCCCTTCTCCTCTCTGACTTCAGTTTCCTTTTGAAATGAGGATGTTGGATGTCTAATTCTCTTCCAGTGCAAAAAATCTCTGAGCTTTCTAAAAACAGAAGCTAGAGCTGCATATTCCTGCTTGAGAACATACTGTTAACATGGACTCACTCACCAGGATGTTCAAATCCATACTGTGCATAAAAACAGTATATGCACTGGAGTGACACTTGATCAACTCCTCCTAGAGTCCAAAGAAGCCATGTTCAGACACTTGATCTCTTTTAACCTCCTCAATTTGGTCTGTGTTATGACCAAATTGGTAGGGAGCCCTTTCAACAGGCAACCAATGGAGAGAGTTTCATGGATAGGCCAGATCTCCCAGTGCACACCAAAATGAGGCATCTTGTCCATATGCAACTATGTGAGAAGCGGCAGGTCTGATGGCAGAGATAGATGAGACAGGGGTCCCAGGGTCTCAACTTTCAATAGTGGAAGATCCCTCCTAATAGTGGAAGATCCCTGTCTTTGGTTAAAGACAGCCGTTTACTACGATCCCCTGGCTTCCTGGCATGAAAGCAGCTTTCTTTGAATCCTGCTATAATGGGCAGATAATCTCACAGCTATTTCCTCCTCTGCTGGGTCTGTTGCATGATGCTCTATCAGTACAGAGAGACATTCCAAAGCTCAGAAAAGGTACAGGACAAAGGGCTATCATTTGTATATATATTTTGAGCATCTTTGCTGGGTGGAAGAAGGATTTAGGGAGACACACAGTGAATCAGAAATAGTCCTTGACCTCAAAGACAAACCCCCAGCCTAGATTCATACACAGTTACCTACCATTAACACAAGTCAGAGAGAGAGGAGGAGTGGATGCAATGACAAGGGCAATGGTGGTGAATGAATTGACATTTGGAATTGGTCCTCGGGGATGACTGAGACTTCCCAGGTCAGAGGCAGAGGATGAACATTCCTGTTAAGGGAACAGAATGAGTAAAAGCCAGGCACAGCATAGGGCTTCCAGGAAGAACATCAGTTTATACAGACTCCAAAAGGAGGGATCCTCAGAGCTTTATATCTAAACTCCAAGCACATGACACAAAGGAAGCCAGAGCCCTTTGACATGCAGCTACTTTTGTCCCTAGAGTTTCCAGATCTTATTCCAGGAGAAGCATAGCACCCTCCTCCCCTCCACATCCCCAACCACACATACAAGGAACCTACAAGGAGGGCAGGGCTGTGGCTTTCAGTCACCAAACTTGCATCATTTGTGATCAGGGAAATATATATGTATTTGAGATGGAGTCTCACTCTGTAGCCCAGGCTGGAGTGCAGTGGCATGATCTCAGCTCACTTGTAACCTCTGCCTCCCAGGTTCAAGAGATTCTCCCACCTCAGCCCCCTGAGTAGCTGGTATTTTAGGCATGCACCACTACTCTTGGCTAATTTTTGTATTTTTAGTGGAGACGGGGTTTCAGCATGTTGGCCAGGCTAGTCTTGAACTCCTGGCCTCAAGTGATCTGCCCGCCTCAGACTTCCAAAGTGCTGAGACTACAGGCATGAGTCACTGCACCTGGTCAGGGAAATATTTTAAAATTGTATCAATTTTGGAGTTCTGATCATTTGTTTCAGAGTTGGAAATCAACTTTAGTCTCAGGATTCCTTATTGTTCCTCTGCTGCAATTTCTTTTCTGTTCTTTTTTCCTTTTTGGGGACAGGGTCACACTCTGTCACTGAAGCTGGAATGCAGTGGTGCTATCATAGCTCACTGTCATCTCGAACTCCTGGGCTCAAGTGATCTTTGTAGAGACTGGCTCTCACTCTGTTGCTTAGGCTAGTCTTAAACTCCTGGCCTCAAGTGATTCTCCCACCTGGGCCTCCTAAAGTGCTGGGATTACAGGCTTGTGCCATGGGGACTGGCCCTTTGCTCTAATTTCTAAATGCCATTTCAACCTTTCTTTCCTCCATCCAGCCATGCTTCTTCATCGCAGACACAAGTATTTGGAAACTTCCTTTTTCCTCTCTCATTTTTGTCCCTGGGGCTTCTACAAAGACTGTCGGAGGTCTCACCACTCTTTATCATCCAGATGTCTCTGAGAAACAGAACCACACACTTCCCAACAGCCATCCTGATCTGATCATTTGCACTTCAGGAAGGCTTTGTCCCAACTGAATTCTACCTTATCATTCCCATCAATATTTTTTTTTCATCTTAGCTCTGTGCCAACCAATTGTTTATATTTACTCTCAAAATGTATTTGATGATCACACGGAATTTCACTGCCCAGTTATGTTCTGGTCTACTTAATTTGTCATCTCTATATTCCTTCTCTTGACAGTGGCAGTGTTGCCAGGTAGACAAGGCTCTCTTTTGTTATCACACTTGTGGCCAAATAGTAACAATACTGGTAATAAGAAATAAGTTGTATCAGGTAAGGTGTTTTTTTTTGTTTTTGTTCTTGTTTTTTTTTTGAGACAGGGTCTCATTCTGGAGTGCAGTAACATGATCATAGCTCACTGTAGTCTCAAACTCCTAGGCTCAATGATACCCCCACCTCAACCTCCTGAGTAGCTAGGACTACAGGCATGTGCCACCAAACCCAACTATTATTATTATTATTATTATTATTATTTTTTTTTTTTGTAGAGAAGGGTCTCTCTCTGCTGCGCAGGCTGACCTCGAACTCCTGGCCTTAAGCTATCCTCCTGTCTTGGCCTCTCAAAGTGCTGGAATTACAGCCATAAGCCATGGTGCCCAGCTTCTTATAGGGCTTTAATAGAGGATCATCACTTCCTTAATACTCAAGCCAACCTGTGAAGCAAATTATCCCAGTTTACAAATGAGAAAACTGAGGCTTAGAGAGATTAAGTGACTTGTTTAAGGTCACTCTAGTAGTAACAGATAGGCAGGGCTCAAACTCTGGACTATTAGAGTTGCTGGATATGAAGTATGCTTTGAATTCTGTGCTGGTCCCCCTATGCTTCCCAGAGATGCTCTAAACTGGAGTCTCAAACACCAGTGGGTTTTAGAATTACCTGGGGTCCTTTTTAAAATGCAGAATCTTCCCACCCCATACCCAGGACAATCTGATTTTGATGTGATAGGGCCCTAAAGTTTGCATCATTTACCCAGACCCCTGATTTTATTAATGCAGGAGCTTGTGTTGAGAAATTGCCAAGCAAAATGGAGAAGCCTAAAAATGCCTTATTTGTATCTACTGTTCATTGTATATAACTGTGAGTTAATTCAGGGAAAGATAGTTTGTATTCTGCTTTAGTTCTTATAAAATATCACTATAATCTTATTTTAAATGGCTGCATTTCTGGAAGAGACCATTTTATCCCAAAGAGAATTTCATTTCTGATCATTTCAGATAGATCTTTTATTTTAATTCTCCCTTCCCTTCTTTTAATATGACATCATAATCCTCTTCACATCTAGCTTTTGTGTTTTATTGGTGGGTTTTTTTTTATGGAATATTGCCAGGCTTAGCATTAATGATGGAGATTTCAGAATTATATTCTAAATGAGAGTAAAATTCAAATAAGGATCCAAATGGAAAATATGTCTGTAAGTATATGAAAATACCTCCTTTTTTAAGCAGTTTTTTTCTTTTTTCAGAAGGAAATGCTGGTTTAGGTAGGTGTGTTAGGGGGTGCATTTTACTGTTATACATACCATCTTAAGAAATATTCAGATAAATCCTGCTTGTCAGAACTCCAAAGAGGTCAGAGCACTGGATAAAAAATGAGACCAGCTTTGATTTCCTTATGTAAATGTTTTCTCTAGATGTATCTATTATGCCAAATGTAATGGTTCTAATAACCACTCCAGACCCATCTAATTCAATTTAATTCCCCATGATCAAAAAATGCAAAACAACTATTTGAAAGACAGAGATTAGCTCTCTTTCTACTACTAAAGGAAATGAGAAAGGTATTAAAGAGATGGAATCTCAGACAGAGCTTCAATATTGATCTCGTCTCCCTTAAGTTTGATCTTATGTAAAGTAAGTATACAGAGTGAGGTTTGGTGTAAAATTTGCTTTTGTAAGGCCTAAAGAAACTGGAACAAGCCATCCATATTCATCCCCTCTTTAGCAAGCATATTCCTTCCTACCACTTTCAAATATTTGGATCAATATAAAGATTTAAGATCGATTTTCTTCCAGATTTCAGATCATTGCCTCATAGCCACATTATCTCACAAGCTGTGGTTTGCATTCTTGCACACTGAGCTGTCATATTTCACATAAATACCTTCTTTACATGGGACAAAATATAAACTGTCTCTTTCTACTTAACCCTGTCTTGAAAAAACAAAAGAAGCTGAGTTTTGGAAAATGAATTTCAAGCCCAGTCCACTGGAAAATGTCCTTTGGTCATCTATACACCTGCACTTACTGATACTCTCTTTTCATCCACTGCCTGGCCCGTAAACCACATTGTGTCCCTTTATGGGATACTTTTCATCCACTCCTTTCACTTGTTGGCTCCCTCTTTGGTGAGCTGATATAGGAGCTTGTGTATTTGCATTTCCTTTGGGAGCAGCATTCTTTAAGCAGAGCAGGAAATTCAGTGTCAGTTAATGAATGCTCTTGGTGTGCAGAAACTCTGCTGAGCTCTGGGAGCACAGAGAAGAATGAGATGGGTTCTCCCTCTCTTTAAAATGATTGCCTCTAGTTAGAGGCAATGGGCCTAACAATAACAATAGCTCCCATGCATTGAGCATTTGTTTTGTGCCACCTTCCCAAACGCAATTAATTTTCATCTTCACAATAGTCCTGTGATTTAGATGCTGTTATTCCCATTTTTCAGAGGAGAAAATTTGGGCTCCCCAGTTGCCCTGGCCCTCAGTGGGTATGTGTCAAAGCCAACATTTGAATCCTGGTCTGTGTGACATCAACACCTCTTCACTATATGCTATGCTGGTTGAAAATATAAATACTAGTCGATGACTGAGGCACAGAAAAGATCAACAGAAAAAGAAATTCATCTCCCGGGTCAGAAGGATTAAAGTAGAAGCTGGAAGGCTTTACCCATTCCGGTGTGGCAGTGCCTCCTCTTTTAATGACCTCCCCTTGCGGGCAAAATTCTCCGGAAGAATGCTGTTGACATCCTTCAATGCATCATAAATAATGTCCCAGGTGCTCAACTACCAGACTCAGTCACACTCCTCTGGAAGCTTTGCAAAAGTCCTTGAACTTAACCCCCTCTCAACCAATGTTTCTTCTCATTCCTTGCTCCCCACTATGAGCTCAGTATCATTTGCTCATATTTCATAGTTGCATTGTAAGTGCTCTTAAATTTTTTTTGTCTTTTTGTTTTTTCATTTTTTGTTTTTTTTTTGAGATGGAGTCTCTCTCTGTTGCCCAGGCTGGAGTTCAGTGACATGATCTCGGCTCACTGCAACTTCTGCCTCCCAGGTTCAAGTGATTCTCCTACCTCAACCTCCTGAGTAGCTGAGATTACAGGCGCCTGCCACCCTGCCCGGCTAAATTTTGTATTTTTAGAAAAGATGGGGTTTCACCATGTTGGCCGGGCTGGTCTCAAATCCCTGACCTCAAGTAATCCGCCCGCTTCACCCTCCCAAAGTGCTGGGATTACAGGCGTGAGCCACTGTGCCCAGCCAAATATTTCTAAAGCAATTATTAGTTCAAATGAGTGCTACCTGCACAGATTCAGGATCTGCTGCTTCTGTGTTGTTACTGTCTAACAGTTCTGCGAACTTTTTGTTTGCCTTTTTGTTTTTTGGTGGGAAAGAAAGGTCACCTAAACTTTAGGTTCCTTTAAGGCTGGGCTGTGTTTTATTTGTTTCTGTATCCTTGGCCCCTAGGTCAATAGGGCCCAGAACACGTGTTCATAAAGGTTTGATGGACTAAACCAAATGTGCAGCCAATTGTCCTAAGCTCTGTGACAGGGAAATATAGACCCTCAAATCAATTGAGTCAGCAAAGACTGAAGTGTGGGGATCAATTAAGGTAAGTATAGATATAACTATAACACAATGCAGAACAAGGTAAAACATCATAACGGGGTACCAAATGCTAGGGAAGTTCAGAGGTTGGAGAAATCTTATTCAGTGATCTAGAAGGGGGTATCAGAGGGCTTTAGGTACCCACCAAACTGATAACAAGATCACAGCTATTATAACTTGGTACCTTGGTACCAGTTTGTTGTTTTCAATAGTCACAGTGGGAAGTGCGGCATAGAGAAACTTTTTACTTTATACTTTCCAAGTTTGACTGCATTTTTTAAACAATAAAATTCACTCCTTTTGCAACTAAAACGAAAAGGAAAGGACTGCATGGTGAAGGTGGCATATGACTGGGTTTGGAAAACTCTGTGGATAGGCTAAGGGGTGGGGAGGATTCTTTCAGACTGAGGACCCGGCACGAAGGAAAGCACAGAGACAGGCAAGCCTTGAAAATGTTCAGGGAGCTGGAACCAGAAAGGTGGGCTGGAGTGCTGGATGCAGGCAGGGGCAGCAGCAGGGAAGGCCAAGAGGGAAAGTCAGGCCATGTTGTGTGGGTAAAGATGCTGTCACTGAACTCATCTGGATGGGGGGGCCTCTGGGTCTTCTGAGCTGAGCAAGGCACAATCATGGCTGGGCTTGAGAGGAGTCCTCCTGGACGCTACTCAGATTTGGATATGCACGGATGTTGTCCTTCTTCCTTCCTGAGCCTGATGGCTTGTAGCTCCTAAATGCCAAGGACTGATTCTACTCCATGTACCAGCCCATCCAGTGCTACAACCCAAAGGAGTGACTCGTGCTGGGTTTCCCAAGAAATATGACAGGAGGAGAAGGGAGATGATAGGCACGTTCACAGCACCCCTCAAATTACCTGTAGGGGTTCCCCTCTCTTGCTGGTCATGGAAATGCAAGGTGGACATTGAGATTCCCTCGGTTTCAAGTGTCATTCTTTGCTTCAGGAAAATAAAGCTTTCTTAAATATTTGTATTCTTGCCTTCCTCTCTCATTCCTCTCTCTTCCATTTAAACATGTCTGAAATATAAACACATATACACTTACACATTCAGCATGCCCACTTACTCACTCTACACCTTCCTCTGCTACCCTGCTTCTCTTGGGAGCAATAAGGGCAAAAACTCAATTAATTTCTATGAAATTTCCATCTACTGCTTTAGTCAATAACAGACTTTTCATATGTTAGGGCTCTCAATCAGCCACCTCCTATGGCTTTAATCATTTTCTAACATTTCAGTTTGCTGTCCAGTCTGAATGTCCAACTCCACCTCCCCTTGCTTTGGTTTTTATTATTATTATTTTAACTCTGAAAGGAAAATTCATGACCTATGCCTGGAGCCTAACCTCTTTGTTGATGCCCTTTTACATTTCAAAGTATTTCTTTGAGTAATCTGTTTGTTTTGTCCACTAAAAGCTTTTTTGAGTGAGGAAAATCTGATAGCAACAGAAGGTCCCCAAGTGGGTATGATTCTATTTCTGGATAAGACTCTGAAGATCTTTGTGATAGTTGATCTCATGTGTCAACTTGGCTAGGCCATGGGACCCAGATATTTGGTCAAACATGTCTGCACATTGCTGTGAAGATTTTTTTTAAAGATGAGATTAACATTAAAATCAGTAGACTCTGAGTGAAGCAGATTGCCCTCCGTAATGTGGGTGGGCCTCATTCAATCAGCTGAAAACCTTCAGAAAAAGACAAACTTCCTCCAAGGAAGAGAGAACTCTCTAGGCAGTGGCAGGCCGCCTTCTACTCAAACTGCAACATGAAGTGTCCCCTGAATCTCCAGCCTGCTCTTCTACCTTGCAGATTTGGGATTTGCCAACCTCCTAATTACATGAGGCAATTCCTTAAAATAAATTTTTTTCTCTCTCTCTCTCTGTATATACATACATACACACACACACGTATACACATACACACACATATAAGATGTATATATAAACATATATACACAAACAACCTATTGATTCTGTCTCTCTGGAGAACCATGACTAATTGACTAATACAATCTTCATGTCTATATTCTGTTACTCCAGAAAGATTGTAATTTCTTATTTGATTCAGAAAATGCTTATTAGATATCCACTAAGCCATTAAAACAGCTCTACCTTAAATTGACAGTATCCCTTCCACTTCCTCCATTTCCTGATTGAAAACCTAAATACACGCGGACCCCAGTATCATCTAACTCTCACCTTGTTTCACATCTTTTTCTTTTGCCATCTGCAGAAGAAAGCACAGCTTGGCAGCCACCTCTGATAGATCAGACTTTCACAGCTTTGAGGACCCCTGCCTTCTAGTCAAAACCCTGATGGCTTCTTCAAATCTCTCCCCCATGGGTCCTGTTTAGCAAGGCTTTGCACGTCTTCACTTATCTCCTTTGAGCACTCTACAAGTTCACTATTTGACTTTATTGGGATCTTCACTTTGATCTCAGTGATAAATCTGATGGTATTACACTGTGTCCCTGGGATGAAGTCAAGTGTTGGGTATTGCCAAGACTTCTCATGGAAATGTATTCCTGGGTGGGGGGGGGTACATCAACCTTAACTATAGCAGTCATTACCATTTACTGAGTGCTACCTACATGCTAGACCCTGAAATAGATGATTTACACCCATTATCTCATTTTATCTTGTAAATTAGACAGGACAGACTAATTATACCCCAGTACTCACTCATATGTTTTAAGAAGAAATGGAACCATGGAACCTCTGAGTCTTAGCTGGGCCCGTGGCCACTGGGAACACAAGCTAAATCTCCAAGCCCCCTACTCCCTTGCATAGAGGTATGGCCGTGTGACTAAGTTCTGGCCAGTAGAACATAAGAGGAAGAGTTAAGTAGAACTTCTGAGAAGTATTCTTAGAGGCGGATGATGCATGCTCTGCCTTCCTGCTGGTGGGAGTTTGGACAAAGCGTCTAGAGCTTGCTGCCATTTTGAGCACACATTGGAGAAAGACAGAATAGCCAGATGAAAGGAACCTGGATCCCTGATGACTTGTTCAGTCCCCATACTAGTCCGGAACCCCTTGCATCCAGATTATTTTTATCCTCTTTAACGTTTTAAGTCACTAGGGGTTTTAGAGTTTCTATTACTCGTAGCTGAATCTAATACTAATTGACCATTCACATTTAAAAGAGGAAGAAAGCAAGGCTCAAAGAGGTTAAGTTACTTGCTTCACATTATGTAAGTAGAAAGTTGTAAGTGGTGGAGGCTGGTTCTGTCTGATTCCAAAGCCAAGGGTATGGCCCCTTCCTGCTATACCATACTTCCTGCTAGTGAGAGCTACCCTCTAAAGTGAACTTGTTGTCTTCTTTCCTGGTTTGACGATTCTTCTAAGCAAGTATAGTTTGGCTGAGTCGTTACTTCCTGGAGAGAGGTTTTGAGGCCCTTCCACTGTCTTGAAAGATGTCCCAACCAATGGGACATCTGTGACCATTCAGGGACCTGGATACACTTATCCCCTAGCCACCCAATACCAATATGTTTGCTAAGTAGCTGCTTCTTAAACTGCACAGTAGGGTGAGTGTCTTGCACACCTTGTCAGACCACTAAGCCTGCCTGTCCTAACAAATCTACTCTGCTGTGACTGTATTCCTCTGGCGTGTTGGTACATATGCTTCTCCCACTGGCGCTTGGGGCCCCAGCATGTCTGAGAAATTGAATGACAGCAAGTTTTTCTGCCAAGACCAAAGCAAATATCCCTGGGAAAAAAAAAAAAAAAAAACCAAGAGCCTCATTGCAAAGCGTCCTGGCTTCTGTGTGGATCTTCCGCTAGGGAATTGCAAAAACTTTCTTGAGATGCAGAGACCCTAAAGGTCCTTCAAATGCTGAATGTCAGTCTGTGCCACAGTCAAAATTACAATCCCAGCAGAGAAAAATGTGCCTGCTTTTCGCTTGTGTGGAATTACAGGGGTCCCATATACTGGCTTTGATCCAGTTTACTATGTGATCTTGAAGAGAGACATCATGGTGTGTTGAAAGAGCACAGGGTTGAGACTCTGAAAGCCTGGCTGCTGGTTACTACACTGACACTGTGTAGTTCAGTCCCGGGCAAGTCACTTAACCTCTCTGAGCCTATCAGCTGTGAGTATTCATTCATTCACCCTGCCCCCACCCCCATCCATTCATCCATCTATCCATCCAATTCAATATTTATTAAAGGTGCATTTTTTTAGGCTTGGGGCACACAAAAATGAACAAGATATGGCTTCCCCACTGAAAGAGTTCCCCTTCTACCTGATAGGTGGTAGCAAATGCAAAATTGTTAATAGATGTGATGGTACTTGAGAAAGCATAAGCTTGTACCTACAGTCAAAGGGTTATTTTTAAGTCACAACTTTGGAAACCTCAATTTCTCCTCCCCTTAGGTGGGACCCCCTAATTGTGCACCAGGGAGTCAATAGAGAAATAGGTGTAGAATTCATGAACTGGCTACAGAGGTCCCTAGCAATTTCTGCATCATAGATGGGGCATTTAATAGTGAATGTGACCCATCCTAGGAAAGCTGTGTACTGAGAAGCACCTGGAAACTCTGTCTTCAGAGACCCTACCCAAGCTCAGTATTTAATGGGAGCCACAGGCCACAGAATCCTTATCCTTATGATTGGAAGATGCCTCGGTCAGCCATAAGAGAAATTTCAGTATTTTATTGAAAGCATTTTGCAGTGGGAAATCCTTTCTCTCTTTTTTTTTTTTTTTTTGCCAGTGCCAGCATAATTTAACTATGATTTAATAGCTTCTTTCATTTACTTGTTAAATTTTGCCTGTCCATCACCTTCCCTTTGGGTTTTCCCGCCTTTTGGTCCTACAACCTCCCATTATTTATTAATGCTCCATAATACATGATCGAGGTAGGCAGAAAGCAGTCATTTCACAGTGATTTAGGAGACTCCTGGCAGTGAAACAACAGGAACAGGAACATACGCTCTGAGAGTCTCCCCCGTACTTGCCTTTTTGGAACAGAGTCAGATAGTTCTTAGCCATATGAGTCCTCCCCTCCCCTTCCCATCCCACCCTCCTGGCCATTTTCCTGCCCTGAGCAAATTCAAAATACTTGGCTCAAAATGACTGGTGAGTCACAGCTCATGTTTTTTTCCAAGTTCCAACTGCTAGGATGAGTCTACTCCTCAAAGTTGTGCTTAACCTAAAGAGACACAAGAGGTAATTTGGCTTTCCCTCCCAGGCAGGAGCCTTGTGTGAGATTAGATTTCAGATATTTAATAGTTTGAATCTTGAGGGAATCAGTCGTTGAAAGGAAGCCTGAAACAAACTAGGGAGATACTCCTTGTTGTCCTTTTCTTGGGACAGATTGGCGTGTTTTGACTCATGGAATGACTTTTATAGGGATGGAGTTAGGATGAGTAGTTCTAGAGTACAGATGGGAAAATAGACGTGTTTTGTGACTTACTAAAAAGTATGGATTGGGCCACATCTGCAACTTCATCACAGTTCTGTTTCTCCCAGGCATCAGTGAGGGGCACGTTCATTTGCTGCCCCATCTACGTTTCCTTTGCCTTATCCCTTCACTTGTGCTTTGCACTAGACTAGCACCTATTCAGTGACTCAGTGGATGAAGTAGGGAGGCTCTGCAGATGTCGGGGCAGAGGGATACCTGGAGAAGTGCAGTGACCAACCCAATATCGTAGAGTTGAAAAGTGGCAGAGCCAGAATTAGAGCTAAGCTTCCTTTTTGACTGTAAACTTTTACTGAGTAGGTTATTATTTTTATATATTTAAAGATATATTTTGTATATTTTTATAACTTTTAAAGATAATGTATATTCAAGCTCTTAGCAGAGTGTCTGGCATTTAATGCATGCTTGCCTTCCTTCTACTACAGACCACCAAAACTGATACAGTGCTTAATAGGAAGGGTAGTGTTGTATATGGCCAGATCCCTGGAATGAGACTTGGACCTCATCCTGGTTATCTACTTACTCATTGGGGAAACTTGGATGGGCTGCTTTGCTTCTCTGAGCCTCAGTCTTCTTATCTGTAAAATCAGAAGATTGAGTTAGATGGCCTCTGAGATATTTTCTTCCTGTAACTTTGTTCCTGAGACTGCTTTAGTCGAGGTTGGGAGTAACTTAGAGCACAGAGCAGGACTCTAGAGTCTGGGGAATGAGTTGCCCAAGTGGAGTAAGGGAGTCATGACAAGGACAAAGTGCTTGGGGATCTATGATTGTTATATTGAGTGATGGCCAAATCAAACAGGAGAATTTCTTATGCTTCTTGGGCAGTATAGCCTCTTAATCCCTCTCTCCAGGTCCTAGACAGTATTTGGCAGATACGGCATCATGTCCCCACTGGTTCCCTTTCCAGCTTTTGGAGGACCATGACTGCACCAAAGGCTGGGCATGCCTGTCATTCCTCCTTCATCCCTGACTACACTCACCTGCTTCATCCCTCTAGATGGTAGCAAGAGCTTTGGAGCCTAGGCATTTGCCCCTGGAGACATGTCCTGATTTTCCCTAGCGGCCTGGGCAGCCATTCTCCATCTGGTCATCTAGGCTTAAAGTCTAAGCATAGGAGAGAAAATCTGAGATAAAACAACAGCTGGAATAGAGAGTCTGGTCCCTCTGTTTCTCTATGACATTACTTCCTACCCCCAGCCGTGCCTTACAGAAGGTAGCAAATGGAGTAAGTCAGTCCAGAAGCTGGAGCTTTGGGTATCTCCTGTTCACCCACAGTGCTATCTTCTGCAGCAAGCCTGACTTTGTGATGACCTTTGCAATTTCTCCATTTGCATTTCCGCAGTGCCCCAGGTTTGCAATGACACGCTCCATTCCTCCAGAAGTTTTCATTCCTGTGGCGCCAAGGCTGGGGAACATCAGAGGGCCAGGCTGTTCTGTAACTAACGTAAATGTGTAATCTGCCTAAGCCTTGACTAATGCATTCCTTGCATTATTAAACACAGATTAAATATATATGGATATTTAAATGTAATGTGTTATTTTCCTAAATCTAGCTATGCTCGATGTTCCTTTGACTTATGCCTTTTCATTGCTCATAATTGTCTCAGGGATCATGAATTACAGGCAGAAAGGAGCTGGAGCTTCCTCAGCACCAAAGACTTTGCTATCCCATTACATTTGCCCAAGAGATGCAGCAGTAGTTCTCCCGCCCAGAAAATTACTGCTGGGTTTCTTCACAGGGGAATGTATTTTTTTTCCCTTCCTAGACAGAGCTTATTTCTCACCAATGATTCAAAGGCTAAGCCAGCCAGAGCCTGGCAGACTTTTCAGTTTGTTTCTATTCTACAGGAAGGCTTACGTCTGGGGCAAGTTACTGAATAAGAAATTCAGACAGAGTCTGTGCCTTCATGCTGGTGGTACCTTCACCCACTCTCCATCAGCTGTACAGACAGTCACTTGTCCTCTACGGGTGCTTGGAGAGCCCCAGTGAATTCTGAATGATTTCCTGTTTCAATCATGCAGTTAATTGGCAACATTTCTGCCCAATACCTCAGCCCAATGGCAGGGAAACCAAAACTATCCATGACAATGGTATGTTTGAAGCAAAGACAATCTAAAGCACTTCACATTTGCATGTCTCAGTTTCCCTTTCTCTAAGAGGCAGGGTGGAGGATTGATTCTGATTCTCTCCAAAGTTTTTGTAGTCTTTCCCATGGTTCTTTGTGCTTCTGAGGAACCAGAAGGGGCAATACAGTCAGATACCGTTCACCTAGCATCATTTGCCCTGCTACCATTAAAGTATGTTCTTCCTTGAGTCTTGGTTAAAGATTTTTCATCCATGTCAATCAGTCAATTGATCAGGAGGTGCTGCCTTTGTATCCTGTCTTTATCTGTATCAATATACTAGAATTTAAGCCACTGGTGTTCAGGAGCCAGCTCATACCACCTAGGAAGAGCTGACTATGCACATATCTTCCCATCTCCTCTCTCAGTGATACCTTCTTGGTTTCTAAAAATCAGCCACTGCGGGAATATTTACACCATGGAAATTGGCCAAAGCTAGAAAGCAGAACTTTTTTCCCTTGAAAAACTGATCGTTAAAATTTACCAGCACATCACTGCCATAAGCTCCCTGAGGGCACTGGTCAGTTCCTATAGCTCTCTTTGTGTATTATGAAACACATATTGGGGTGTATGGAAAGTTTTGTAGATGAATACAGAGGACACGTCAAGTCACAGATCTCTCCCAGTTCAACTGTAAATAAGTTACAATCTCCATTAAGTGCCACAGTCTTTCAAACATACCTGCTTTCTATAGTATTACACTTTTTTTTTTTTTTTTTTTTGTGAGATGGAGTCTCGCTCTGTCACCAGGCTGAAGTGCAGTAGTGAGATCTTGGCTCACTGCCACCTGTGACTCCCTGGTTCAAGCAATTCTCCTGCCTCAGCCTCCTGAGTAGCTGGGATTACAGGCACATGCCACCACGCCTGGCCAAATTTTGTATTTTTAGTAGAGATGGGGTTTCACCATGTTGGCCAGGATGGTCTCCATCTCCTGACCTGTGATCCACCTTGGCCTCCCAAAGTGCTGGGATTACAGGCATGAGCCACCGTGCCTGGCCTATAGCATTATACTCTTGATGTTATTTTTTTCTCACTGTGGGGACATGCTTGATCTTACCATCATCCATGCCTCTGTGAGTAGATTCTCCCTCTCCTAGGTGTGTTCATCAGAACTTGCTGAAGTAGGAATCAAAGGAGTTAAGACAGGAAACTCGTTTTCCATCTTCCCCTGGACCCAGGACAATTATTGATAATCTCCTTCTTCTAATAGGAGAGCAAGGTGACCTAAGGCTTGTATGGGAGGGAAGAAAGGAGCAGATGTTGGGATTTTGGATGAGGAAGAGCAATGCTTGGCTGGACTGATTTGAGCAGGCAGCCCACTTGTCAGCTGGACTCATGAAAACCCCCAAAAAGGAAGGGAAACAACTGCATTCAATGGTCACAATGTACAACATTTACTGTGTCTGTCATACAATCAGCAGCATATGGAATCTCATATATCTTGGGCCTCCTGACTTGGACATTCTTCATAATAGCTTGATTTTGGTTGTCTTCTGTAAATGCCTAGTATGGAGCTTGAAGCATTATAGGCCTTCAATAAGCACTTACTGAATTAGTGAAAAATTTTATTTGCCATCTACAGGTCTCAGGGTTTGGAAAACGAGTGTAGGTTGTGGTTGGAGAGTGGGGAAGGTGTCGAGGGGGCTTGTTCTTTTCCTGAACCCTGCTTTATTCTTTACACTGTAGTCAAAGTGGTTATCAGGCCCCTCAAAGGAAAGGAGGTAATTCTTAAGATGTGAAGGTGCAGGCACAGAAGAAAGGTTAAGGAAGGAGGGCCACCAGGCCTTTGTGCATTATCAGTTCCCACTTTAAGGAGCCTTTCAACAAAATGTCTCTGCAGCTCAGGTAAGCAGGGAGTTAAGGTCTGAGGAGAATGGAATTTTCCTTGTGGTCGTACAGACTTGTTTTAACCACAGGAATGAACACAAGATTCAACTTGTCCCCTCAGCTATTGTCTGGAACTCCTTTCCCTCCAGCCACCGGCAGCTGAGGTTTTAATGTGACATTTTTCTAAGTATTAGGATTGCTCTCTGGCCTTCTCTTTATAGCTTTTTTGCTTCCCTCCTCCCAGGCTCTCACCTCCCTATCCTTCAAATGCTTTCCAATAAGCAAGTGCTCTCCTCCTGTCTACCAGGCAGGGGAAGACATATGCGTTTATTTATTCTTTTTAAAAAGGTGTGTCTCCTCTCCTTCCTGAACCTTCATCCTGCAACTCCCCCTTGAAACCACAAAGTATTACCCTTACCCATTCCCAAATCCCAAAGCCTGGTGCAAAGATACCTGAAGGATGATAAGCTAACTTCATACGCTGTTTGAGCCATCCTAGCAAGGGTTTCAACAGCCTTATCAACACAACCAAAAATATGGGCATATTTTCTCTCAATTAGTTATTGGGCCCAAGCATAAAAGACCTTTTGAGCCTTAGTCAGAGGTCTTATTTTGTGAATTTTTGCTTTAGATTTTCTGGTCTCTGTGTGGCTTTCTCTAAGGTCTCTAACCAATCCCAGCCCATCTTCATCCATTTATCTTTAATGTAGAGGAGCTCAGAAAAAGTTACCCCCAAATTGATTGACAAATTGGGGTGGGAGGAGGTGATGGATTATTTTACGGATCCTCTCCCTTGATTGCCTTGATATTCCCGCTGCATTTTTGTCACCTTACTGCCTGGTTTCTGAGTTCTCTCTGTGTCCGAGGACGACAAATGGCAGTAGAAAGTCAGCATGCCTTGGAAACTCAAGCAACCCGAAGGCTCAGTGCTCACTTCTCCCTGCCAATATTGCAATGGAAAAGCCTTCCTGCAGACAATTTTTAAAATTTTCTTTTAAAGCAGCATTAGAGAGATTGAAACAGATTTCTTTCCAAGGCGTTACCCTTTGATGAGGTACAAAAAAGGTTAAACAAAAAGCCAAACTTTGGTTTCAAATGTAAGACACCTTTATTCTAATTATAATCATAATGATCTAATGTGTTTGGGATTTAATTATTTGGAATTAGAATAAAAAAAGACATCCTGTAATTACCATTGAACTCATCTTGAGGCATAAATCTAATAATTAAACACTTTCAGATTGTATTCAGTGAGTAATTAAAATAGAAAAAAAATACTGTGGATTCCTTTCTACCTCTGTAAGGAAGTTTCTCAAATTATCAATGGATTTCAGTGACAATATCTAGAAATTATTGTGTATAAAATATAATTATTAACAAAATTATAATTTCAGTTATTTACAGTCTTTTCCCTTGGCAGTCAGGATGTTTGAGCAGGTGAGAATTGACAGAGTTAGGAGTTGGATCTGAATGAAAAATATTTCCTTCCTGAAAGATAGCTCCCTGAACTCAAGTTTCATTTTTATTGTCAGCAAGGAAAGAGAAGTAGGTACTGTGCAATTTTTATGAGAACTGAGTTCTGTTCTCTGATCAGTTTTTGGCAAAAAATAGCAGCCCATATGCTTTCCCCTTTTGGAAGTGGAACATGGGAGTGAGGTTTGGCAGGAGCAGATGCTGTAGCATTCAAGGGAAAGGTCTTGGGAGACAGCGCGCTTCAGGGAATTTAGCTTTGTTCATGGGACTAGGCCCCAAATGTCAACAAACCCGATTCATCAGCTTGGGGTGGGGAAGGGGAGGAGCTGGCCGGTGTGGGGACAGTGTATGCTCAGGTGGCATATTCTCTTGGAGCTGAGGTGTACTCCTGCTGCTTCTTGCTCACCCCCATAGGGAACAGAAGTCAGGGTATTGGCATTGTTAGGCAGGCAGATCAGAAAGAGGAAAGGAATGAGGGCTTGGGCCAGTCTCATTCATCAGCTGCATGGTTTATCTAACCGAGTTTGAGTGGGTCAAGTTGTTTCTCCCCAGATATGCAAACCCCTTTGACATTCTACGACCATTAAGCCCTGCTGTAAAATGCTGCTTCCCTGGGAATAAGCAGTCCATTCAATTAAAAAGCACCACAGATGAATGCTACCTGAGAAGTCAGATTCACAGACAGAAATTTAGACTAGGTCCATGGTGAGGAGGGAGTTATCAATGGAGGTGGGAGAGTGCCTATCAATAACAGCAATAATAGTAATAGCAAAAGCTCCTAGGCACTTTACTCATGCCTTCCTCATTTAACCTTCACACTGATCCTGTAAGGTGAGTGTTATCTCTGTTCTGAAGAAGAGGTAACGAAGACCCAGGAGGTTGAGCACTTAGTCCAAAGCCACAAGTGCTATTAAGGCAGAGGCCAGATTTGCTACTCACCACTGCAGTACATAGCAAGATTCTCATATAGGGTATTTCTGGGATCACACATAGGGCTTTAAAAAATAAAGATTTTGGCCGGACACAGTGGCTCATGCCTGTAATCCCAATACTTTGGGAGGGCGAGGTGGGTGGATCACCTGAGGAGTTCAAGACCAGCCTGACCACGTGGTGAAAGCCCGTCTTTACTAAAAATAAACACACACACACACACACACACACACACACAATTAGCCAGGCATCTTGTTGGGCATCTGTAATCCCAGCTACTTGGGAGGCTGAGGCAGGAGAATCGCTTGAACCCAGGAGGGGGAGGTTGCAATGAGCTGAGATCACACCACTGTACTCCAGCCTAGGCAACAGAGCCAGACTCTGTCTCAAAATAAATAAATAAATAAAAACAAAGATTTTGCATCTTATCCCAAAGATACTGGGGACTCATTAAAGGCAGTGTGACAAAGAAGTTAGAATTTGATTTTTGGAGCCACACAACCTGGATTGGTTTATTACCTGTTAAACCTTAGCTAATCATTAAACCTCCCTGAATCTGAATTCTCATCTGTGGAATGGGTATAATTAATGCACTGGCATCATGTGGTTATGGGAAAGAGGTCATATCCATACTTTGGGTGATGCCTGGCACCCAGTACATGCTCAATAAATTCAAACTATTAATAATTACTTTATGTTAGTATTGTGTTACACCTTGAAGAATAATGGTAATGTAAATAAATGAAGTGAACCTCATAGAATGAAGGAAAAATAGCAGATGAAGGAAAAATATCACAAGCAGATATGGATGTGATATTGCGTTATCCTGGTCTTGCTTCCTTTTCTTGCTCCCTAAACTGTAGAAATTACTTAAGATTCTGTCACTGGTCTTCTTTTATATTTTGGATATCTCATCCATCCACATAATTCCCACTGACTAATTTATGTGAATAAACTCCAAAGTTTTATCTTGTGAGCCAACCATTTTCCTAACCTCTACTGCTTCTAATTCCCACTGGATTGTTTCTTCTCCTGGGATCTCCATCCCAGCATGTCAAACGGTGGTTCTCTAAGGGTTGATTTTTCTTTAACGCCCCCACCATGCCACCATACTCCAAGTTCTCTTTAACACCTCCATCCATTTCCTCACATCCAGTCAAGTTGTAATTTGGGTAATTTGTTGTAATTTTATTGGCTCCAGAATTAAGTCTGTTTTTGTTTTGTTTTGTTTTTTCAAAATGGATGATTGTATTTCCTTCTTACCTGGTTAGTGAATACCCTCTAAACTTTATTCAATCACTAAGTTGATCTTTCTCAAAATAATTCTAATGATATCAGTTTATGCTTAGAGATCTTTAGTTTCTGAAGCTTTAAAATTTAAAAACAAAATTCTATTTTGTTAACAGTTCTGCTGAAACCTATTTCCTTTTCTCTGGACAGAGTCTGATTTTTGCTTCTTTACTTTTGGCTTACAGAGTTCCCTCAATCAACCCTGTCCTTCCCAGAAGCTTTACCTGGTAGACTTTACCCCTTAAGAGGCTTAACGCTCCCGCTTCCATTAACTTTTCCTGATCACTCCAGGTTGACAAGACCTCTTTTTTTTCTGTACTGCTGAAGCATTTTGTGTCCCTTTTCTGATAGTGTTATTGTCTTGTGCTATGGTTTTAACCAGTTAATATAAGCACATGGAAGTCAGAGACCTTCTCTTACTCATCTCATGCATTATCTCAATTAATTCACAAAGCAACACCCTTCTGTAAGGTAGTGTCTTTTCATCTTCTAGATGTAGAAGCTGAAGCTCAAAGCTATTAAGTCAATATCCCCCAAATTCTAATTGTACCAAGGATTAGGTGGAATAATCAGTTTAAACCCAAGTTCATTTGCTTCCAAAGCCACTAAACAATACTGGTATAAGTGGGCTTGAGAGGAGGAAGATGGAGAAGAGATGGAAAGGTTGGAGAAATGTTGAGTAAGGCTTTAAGTTAGAGGCAGATATTGAGTTGGAGCTTGAAAATTATGATCTCATGGAGTAGGTGCATAGGAAGGCATGCTGGGCAGAGGGAACGGCATAAACAAAGGTGTAGAAGCAGGCCTTCGATAACCACCTGTTGGGAAAATGAACTAAAGAGCAGGTCCACTTTCCTACTTAATGAGGGATGTCCTTGGTAATGGGGCTTGGTCCCCAGTGGATTCTTTACTCCCACATTTGCAGACCCAGGCAGGGAGGAAGTTAATTCTGTATATAATTCTTCTATTCAATGGAAAGTTCTGGGACTCAGACTTTTAGGAAAATAGAAGTACTTTCATTTCTAAATCTAGGTTTTTGCAGTGCGGCAAAACCTGTTTGGTAAGCAGGGTCCCCTCCATGCCAGCCTGGTTTTCCTTCACCAGCCCAGACTCAGCAGAAAACACGTGCAGAGTAAGTCCACAGCTACCCCTCCAGGTGAGACAAGAACAAAGAAATGTCTCCCCCCGAGCAGTGGGCAGTAGTCCACAGGTCATTTGCAGTTACTTCTTTAAGTTCTACTTTCCTAAACCCTTCACTCCCCCGATCCCTATTGGCCTTAGCCTAGAGCGGCACAGCCAGAGCCAAGAACTCCATGGGCCTGGACCTCATCTCATAGAATCTCTGCCCACACCTCAGTGATCCAAAGAGCTGGGGAAATAAATGACATGGAAAATTAAAATAAACTGTTCCACCATGAAAAGCACAAGCTGGGTCATATTTATCACAATTGAATAGAAAGAGGTGGTAGGTTCTTTCTCTCTGAAGGTTCCTTACTCCATTTAAAAAGCACAATGAATTAGGACCTCGCTCATAACCCCAATTAAAGACACCGCTGCTAAGGCTTTGCACATAACCACACGATATGCTTGTTATTTAGAACCTGTTGTCAACCTCACAGGGAGTTGCATCTTCATGTTTCAAGTGGCTGCTTTCACAGAATCCTTGTAGCAAATGGACCAACATATATTTTGGGCAAAACAATCAAGATGGATGACTAACCCCAGCAGAGATTGTTTCTATAATATTAAATTGAGTGAGGCTCATGATACTGTGATGCCATGATACTAAGCATGAAACTCAAGGCAGACACTTTAAATAAAAAGATCGACAGACTTAACTACAAGAAAAATAGAAACCCCATGCAATAAAAACTCAATAAAAAATTTAAAAATGCCAAGGTGAGAAAATTGTTTGTAGAAAGTATGACAGAGGGTTAACATACAGATTTATTAAAAATGAAGAAAAATATAAGCACTTTAATATAGAGAGGACATAAAGTGGTGAGAGAAGAACTATAAGTAGAAAATAAATATATGAAAAATGTCCAACCTTACTGTCTATCAAAGAAATACAAATTAAAACAAAGATGGAATTTCAATTATCTATCAATTTGGTAAAGTACTGAACGTTTGATTCTGTCCAGGGTTCTGAGCTCCTGGTGTAGTAGTCCCCAGCTCTGAAGAAGAGTCTGTGAATTGGCTCAAGCTTTCTGCAGGGAACTTTGGCCATTGATATTGAAAGCCTTAAAAGGAGCCACAGCTACTGGCATAGCCAGTACGTTTCTGGAAACTCACTTTCAGAAGATATCAGACAAATGTACAAATATGCATAAGCAGGATTGTTGATAACAGCATTATTTGAGTGTACAGGAAACTGTAAACCTACATGTTCAAAAATTATAGTACAATATCATAGTAGAACATTGTACAGTCATTAAAATGCTGATACATAGGGTTATATCTATTGATGTGGAAGGATGATCATATTATATTATAAAGTGAGAATATTTAGTCAGGTTTTCTTTTTTAACGAACAAAGTGGAGCTATTTTGAAGGTGGTTATTTTCTGTAGTCTGTAATTTTAAACTTTTCTGTGTCTTCTAATTTTTCTATAGTGAACATGGATTATTTGTTTTAAAAAACAAATGACACACGTAGTAGGCAGACTAATGGCCCCTTCTCCAAAATGTCCTCACCTTAATTCCTAAAACCTGTGAATATGTGAGGTGATATGGCAAAAGGAGCTTTGAAAATGTAGTTAAGTTAAAGAGCCTGAGATGGAGAGATGATCCTGGTTTATCTGGGTGGGCCCAGTGTAATCACAGTGGTCCTTATAAGAAGAAGTTAGGAGGGTCAGAGTCATAGAGATTTACACTGCTAGATGTTACACTGCTAATTTTGAAGATGGAGGGAGAGGCCACCAGCCTAGGAATGCAGGGAGCTTTAAGCAGCTAAAAATAGCTAAGAAGCAAATTCTCCCCTAGAGCCTCCAGAATGCAACACAGCCCTGCTGACACCTTGATTTTAGCCCAGTGAGACATCTTCTTCTTTTTTTAAAATACTTTATGGTCTAGGGTACATTGGCAGAATGTGCAGGTTTGTTACATAGGTATAAAAATGCCATGGTGGTTTCCTGCACCCATCAACCCGTCATCTACATTAGGTATTTCTCCTAATGCTATCCCTCCCCTAGCCCCCCACACCTGGACAGGCGTGGGTGTGTGATGTTGCCCTCCCTGTGTCTGTGTGTTCTTATTGTTCAACAACCACTTATGAGTGAGAACATGCGGTGTTTGGTTTTCTGTTCTTGTGTTAGTTTGCTGAGAATGATGGTTTCCAGCTTCATCCACGTCCCTGCAAAGGACATGAACTCATCCTTTTTTTATGACTGTATTGTATTCCATGGTAAAAAAAGGGAATCCTCCCTAACTCATTTTATGAGGCCAGCATCATCCTCATACCAAAACCTGGCAAAGACACAACAAAAAAAGAAAATTTTAGGCCAATATCCCTGAGGAACATTGATGCGAAAATCCTCAATAAAATACTGGCAAACCAAATCCAGCAGCACATCAAAAAGGTTATCCACCACGATCAAGTTGGCTTCATCCCTGGGATACAAGGCTGGCTCAACATACACAAATCAATCAATGTAATCCATCACATAAACAGAGCCAATGACAAAACCACATGATTATATCAATAGATGCAGAAAAGGCCTTTGAGAAAATTCAACAGCCTTTCATGCTAAAAACTCTCAATAAACTACGTATTGATGGAATGTATCTCAAAATAATAAGAGCTATTTATGACAAACCCACAGCCAATATCATACTGAATGGGCAAAAACTGGAAGCATTCCCTCAACTGGTACAAGACAAGGATGCCCTCTCTCATGACTCCCAGTGAGACTTCTGACCTAAGAACTGTAAGGGAATAAATTTGTATGACTAAATTTGTGGCAATTTGTTACAGCAGCAGTAGAAAATGAGCACAACACGTTTCTCAGGCCTGTAAAATCACCGCCCTCTATCGGGCTCTGCTGGGTGGAGGAGGAGTAGGACATGGAAGAGCTTTTGGTTTAGGGACAATCTTTCTTAGGCCATAGTTAAAGTTGGGGAATGTGCACAATCAGCAGTAGGCTAAGAGATCCTCCTTATGAAGAATCACTACTCCGTAAAGTTGGTTTCGAGACTATTTTTAGTTGTTTAATTGTTTCCTTCTCTTTAAACTTGGGAATGCTAGGGATCTGTGCTTACCTTGCGCATTCCTATATCCCTTGAGTAGCACCAAGCCCAGGAGCTACTCAGCCCACAGTCACTTGCTTTTGAATAGAAGGATCAAATTCCAGGAGCTACAGTCTACTCTCTGAAGCTGACCTTCCACCTGATGCAGAAACTCAGGGCTAATTTTCTAGTTTTCTTCTCTCTTTTTGTGCAGCTGGTGTAGAGTTTAAAGAAATTGTGTTCTTTCCTTCACACTCAGATGGTTATTCCTTCTAGATTTCAGAAGCCTAGAATTGAGGTTTCAGCACTTGGACACCCACTCACCCACATTTAAAATCACAAAGAACCATGGCGCTGAAGTGGTAGTTTAATACTTGGTCTGTGGAGATATACACACAAGTCTCTGTAGGATCCTGTTTTCAAAAATTTCAAGAGTGCCATTGGCTGGTGTCTACAAAGAAGAGTTGCAGGATCTCAGAGCAGAACTGAGCCCTGACTCAAGTGTAAGAAAGAGGTTGTTCATCGTCTTCTAGGCTCAAGCGTCCCTAGAGTCCTTCGACTACCTCCTTTCACAAAAGTCTGGGATCCTTGGAGGCATTTCGAGAGGATAGAGTGGGGCTGGTTGTTTCAGTGTCTCTCCAAAGAATGTTGTCAGTTCCCTGTGGAATCCGCCAAGGCCCAAGGCCGTGTGGGGCTCCCAGTGGTGTCAGAAAGGAGTCAAATGCCTACTCCCAAACACAGCATCACTCACTCATCTTGGTTTAAATCTTAAAGGGATAGGAGAAGAAAGAACTTTCTTGCAGATGTGCTTCTTTACCACTGAAAGGAAGCAGCCTTCCTCAGAAAGTGACAACCTCCTTGTTGAAGAAGTAGAACTGAGGCAGGGTCTGAAAGAGCCTTGGGAAGAAGACTCTGGCTCTGGAGGGAGTTGGATTCTATTCTCTCCCAACTCTGAATCACATGACCCCATAATCCTTAGATATAAGCTGGGTCAAGCAGGCTTGCAGTAAACTGTGATCACAAATAGTTAATGGGGGAAACGGTCTCGGCCAGTGCAGTTGAAGATAAAATTAAAGAGCTTGAAGAACACATAATGGGAGGGAGGAAAAGAAAGACTAATTGGTAGAATAAAACCCTGCCCTAAATCTACAGAAATCTTAAATCCACAAAGGTGCAGGATTATAAAACCCATCCATAAGTAACAAGGTGATCCACATAGATTTCCTTCAGCTGTGCGAGAGAGCAGGCTGCTAGCTATGCCCGCTCTAGCTTCTTCCAACATGAATTTGCCGGTTCTTTTCCTGCTCCAGTTTGTCCTCATTTAAATGAAGCTGGTTATGTTTGCACCTCCTGGTTTTGCCTCTGTGCTCGTATACCAAGGAGTTGCCCGTCCCTGCTAAGCAGAGGCACAATCCAGGCGGGAGAAGCAGGGGATTAACATTTGCATGTTGTGTCTCTGTTCCAAGAGCTGTGCAAGGGGTTTCAGCATTTATGGTCTGATGTAATTAAAAGTCATTCTCCACACCCTCTTCTCTTCATTCCCTGGAGGGATTCAGGGAAGGAAGGACATGAAACTTGTCATTGGCTTCTTGCCTGTCAGCAGCTCACAGAGCTGTGGGAGGACAGGGGCCTTTTCTGGGAATTGCATTAGGCAGCACACCTGACCAGGAGTTTCTTGTTTTTGTTATTTTAAAATAAAATCTTGGGGCCGGGGACGGTGGCTCACACCTGTAATCCCAGCACTTTCAGAGGGTGAGGCAGGCAGATCACTTGAGGTCAGGAGTTGGAGAACAGCCTGATCAACATGGCGAAACCCCATCTTTACTAAAAATACAAAAATTAGTCGGGTGTGGTGGTGGTGCATGCCTTTAATCCCAGTTACTCAGGAAGCTGAGGCAGGAGAATCGCTTGAATCCGGGAGGCGGAGCTTGCAGTGAGCCGAGACTGTGCCACTGCACTCCAGCCTGGGTGACAGAGCGAGACTCCATCTCAAAAAAATAAAAATAAAATAAAATAAAAAACAATCTTGATACTAAGTTGTGATAGATCCTGGCCACAGTTTGCCTGTGACTCTTCTACATAAATTCAGCAGCCCAAGGCTGCAACTTTACATGGACATAACTAAAGACTAGTGCTTGTAGTGGACTGATCCCCAGAGGCAACCAGATGCAAATATCGCCAATGTTTTCTCTTCTATGGCCTTCCTCTGCTTTCCTGTCTACTTACTGTAGCGGCCAGTAAAGGCACCAAGCTTAGGGCCGAGGAGCTTTTCAAATATTTTTCTTAGGAAAATATGAAAAAGCCCTCCTCCCCACAACAACAACAAAAAACCCTCACATTGGCTCCATAATTCAAAAAGAAAACCAATGTTTAACTACTGTCTACAAAACATGCCAACTAACTCAAAAGCAACTCAACTCTTAGCTACATGTAAATTTATTTAGTGTGGGATGTGGGTGCATTTTAGTGTCTTTGAAGTAATGCAGGATGCGACCTCTAAAATAAGCTTGCCTGAGGCCCAGGAAAGCTTTGCAGCGTTCTTCTACGTGGCTTCTGGGAAGGCTCCAGCCCCTACAGAAGTAGTGAGGCCTTCAGCGGTTTCTCCTGCACCTGCTTCTGAACACTAGGTGGCAGCACGGAACTTCCTAAGTCTTCTCCAGAGGCTGAGTACAAACCTGAGCAATTCCACCTTAAGAAGGGCCATGCACAGAACCATGCAAAAAGTGCAGTAATTCTTGGACGTGGCTAATCTCTATAATTCACCAGATTGCAGATACAAGTGACAGCTGCAATAGGGGTGATGTTCTCTCATTCGCTGTGTCACCGGGATGCTATTTCGAATTTTCCCGAGATTAGAAAAAGGATTCCAATTGCCCCCAGGGCCTTGCCGTGTAATTTTTATCAGTCTTGATCTGTGAGTTCCCCTAGGCAGCGCGTGTGCCTGTATGTGTGTGTGCGCTCGCGCGCGCGTGCTCACACGTGTGTGAATAGGTCCTTGGTGAGATATGAGGCTCTTGTGGACCACACAGAAGTTGTTTCAGAGGATGAATTTCCAGATTCATCCCCAACTCCAAGACTCTTGCCTTCTCACTTGTTCATTCCTTCAGATTCAGTGGTGCAGCGCCAGCTTCATAGCCATACAATCTGTGCAGTTGTACGTTGCCTGGTGTTCAGCAGGTCCCTATCTTTGATTTCATATTCTGCTGTCACTGTCTTGAAATTCTTAATACTTCTTGAACAAGGAGTCCTTCATATTTACTTTGTACTGGGCTCCATATATGTTATATAGCTGGTCCTACTGTGGAAAATTATGGCCAGAGGTAAATTTCTCTCTAAGATGTGACTCTGTTCTTTCTCAGCATCATCTCAATGACTGGCTTGTCTTAGACTTGAGAATGGGAAAAACGTGGGCTTTTGGTCAGATGTACTTGGATGCAGGTTGGGAGCCTGCTACTTACTGCCTATGTGACCTAGAGCACATTTGTTAACCTCTGCAAGACCACCTCATCCTTTAGAAGAATACAATCGTCCTTTCCTCATAAGATGTGGTGAGTACGAAGTGCTAGGATCCATGCAAAATGCCTAGCACACAGTAGGTATTCAACAAACATTCCTTTATTTGCCCCCATCTCTCCTGGAAATCACCGTCAATTATTTCTACATTATCTCCCCTGTCCAGAGTACCCAGCCTTAGTTGGAGTTAAAGCTTGGTTTTATTTACAGTGAAGCAGGTTTAGGGCAAATGTTCAGTCTCTAACCCATCTCGCTGTGAGTTGAAAGCAGTTTCTTATTCTATTCAGGTCTCTGTGTTGAGCGAGATGCATGACCAAACTGTGGTTATGATTTCTGCACCACGGGAAAAACTGGCTTTACAGAGCTACCTACTGTTTGGGGAACCTCTAAAGAGAGCTTCTGATTGAAATGCCATCTTCAAGGAATTTCCCTTGTACTAATTAGCTTAATATGTTGCACTTGTATAATGTGTTTTTCTCCTAGGATCTGTGGATACTTGGCAAACAGCCATTAATCACATCCTCTTACCTTGATGTCAGATGACTGCAGTTGACACATTCATATCCCTGCCTGGATAGGGAGTTGGAGGGCCCTGGGTCTGAGGCCTGCCTCTGCTCACCATTTTTGTGTGGTCTTGAACAACTTTTCTGGACCTCAGTTACTTCATGTGTAAATTGAGGTTAATAAATTATATTTGGAAATTGATTCTATGGCTAAATTCTATGAAGATGAGATAGTCTCCAAATAGAACACTCTTTATAAAGTAGAAATAATTCCGCAATGCAAAGGATGACAATATTACATTTTGACAGTGAAGTTCAGGTTTAAATTCCAGTGCTATATTGAACATTATGCTTTTGTAGGCATTGAAATTTCCTCTTGCGAGGACTGGGATTGGATATCCAAGAGGCAAATGGAAAATTCCTTTGACCACTAAGATGTTAATTGGCTTTAAGATAATGTTCTGCAAACAGTCCATTTGCCCAACACTAACAAAAAATGAGTACACACCGGAGGCTTGATGAATTCTCACTGGGCCTTTTCAGGACATCCTTAGGTCCAAGTGACTCTGTGTCATCCCACCTATCTATTGATGAAGGTCAGGCAAACTAGGGTCACCACTTGTGACTTGAAGCATTGCCCTGTCTTCTCATCTTGACAGTAAGCTCCTTGAGGGAAAGTCGGGGGTAAAGTGGTATTTGCCATTACATACTGAACATAGTCTCTGCATCAGTAGGCCCTCAACAATGACTGCAGTGTGAAAGGGGATGGCTGAGTTAGTCCACCACTGCCGACTTCAAAGGTTCTCCAAAAAGCTCAGCAGCTGTGTAAGAAGAAAACCGTCCGGTAGTGCCTCTGTGGCCTGAGCTAAAGTCTCCCATTCAAGAACAACTTTCCTGTACCAGGCTGATGCTGACTTAGCCTTTAACCTGCGAGGTTCTTCCTCGATAAATGCAGTTACTTTTGGTGATTTCGTTAGTCTTATGAAGGATTTTTGGTGACTGGTGTGGGAAAGTTTATCAAAATTGTACCCCACATCTTTCAAAAGGGCCAAAGTGCTATTATCCTATTAAAAATCAGAAGGCCTTTCAATGTGAGCTTTGAGAGAATAAGGCTGTAGTTATGAAGTAGCTGGAGCTTCTCACTATTAAACTGCAGATATGATCTCAGACTGCTTTATCATTTAATTCATATGCTAAGTGTATCTATATGAATTTCTACTTATATATTCTTGTATGTCTATATGCTTTTTAACATTTTTGAGCCTATCCCTTTCTACCAGCTTGCACAGTTCTTCCCATAGACATCAGACAGGAACGAAACTGACATTATATATTACTGATCATTAAAGATTGATACTATCTCTCATTTAATGAAAGGAGATAGCTATTTACAACATTGATTAAAAGATGAATTTAGTGTGTATCGTGTAAGCTATAGGGAGAATGGGGAATAGACCTTAAGCCATCTGTCCCTGACTAATCATTCTGTTATGATAATTAAGGCCACAGTTTTGTTTTTGTTTTTTTTTTTTTTTTTAAGTTGGCCCCTGGAAGGGAAGCAAAGCTTGGAATCTCTTGGAGTTAAATAGCCTCTGAAGCAAAAGGTCAATTTCTTTTAGCCCCAAATCATGAACCCCCTTTGGTATAACACTCACTCCTCATCCTAATTGTCTTTCTTCCTGGCAGGAGGCAGCTGACCTTGACCTGATCCACGGCACTTTAACTCTGGTAGAGATGGGGCTGACTATGCCACTGAAACCTTTTGCTGGGGAGGGGGAGTCATAAGGAATCTTTATTTTGGGCTGAGGTTTTTCTGAAAACTATAAAGCTGATCATCCCTAAAGAGAGCTTGACTTCACTCCCAAGCTCTACTTCTTGTCAAAAATCTACTTCTGTTGTCAAAAAAGGAGCCACAGTAAGTCATTTAGTCCATTCCTCTGTTTCTGTGCTGTATTTTGTATAAAAATTCCAGAAAGGTGGAATAATAACAGTCCCCATGCTTGATAGCACTTTAGTGTTTACCAAGCATTTTACATACATCATTTCATTTATTGCTTTCCACAAATACTTCAAATTAGTTATTACTGTCTCCATTTTACAAAGCAAATTGAAGGTCAGAGAGGTTGCAGCATGCTGAAAGTCAGGCTGCTTGTAAGAGCCAGTGCCTGGGCATGGACCTTATCTAATGTCCTTTCTACAACATGACTGCACCAGACTATCTGGTGGATGTAGGCTCTTTCCAGGCAAAAAATTTCCACCACTTCCTATTAGGTCCCCTGGCCCTCAGAGATACCTAATATCAATTTCTCCTTCTGTACCTAAACCCATAACTTTTGTTCTCTTACCTAATGCGAATAGGTTTCCAATCTTTAAATAATAATCTTAGACCAGCCTAAAGTTTAGAGGAGCTGTTTTCCTAGTCCTATCTTCTCAACAGTGACTACTTCAAGCTGCTCTAGCTTTTTCTCCTCCTGCTTTGGAGTCAATCAGTTCTGCTACTGGACAAGTCATTTAACTGGCATATATTTTGTCACCTGCAACAGGAGGATGATGCCACCTCTCTTACAGGATTATGACGAGAAAATTAGAAAATGCATGTAAAGTGCACATATGAAATGCACAATAAATCAATATGCTGTACTTACATTTTTTCCCCATTCCTACCTTTCCTTTACCTTCCTCTCTGGTGTTTTTGTTGTCCTTGAAGATACCCAGAGAGAGGACGCACTCCCCATTTAAGTATGTAAATTGATAGCCTGGCACTTTTCTAGGAAAGGGACTCTATTTGGACAAACTTCTCCAAACAAATCATGGAGAGAATCCTGGAAGTACTTGAGGGGCTCGTCAGAGGTTAGCAGTCTCTCTGCTGGCTCAGTGCCTTGTATTCTTGTATCATCCGCATGCACCAATTATGGGCCTAAAACATAGCCAGGAGACGCCACCTAACAGCATTTGATTTATCAGTTTTATTAAACACAGATGCCTTTAATGTGGAGTTGTTTGTAGCTTGTGCTGGATTTCCAGCTACTTTATCTTATCTACTGGCCAATGTATGAATTATCTTCAAAGGACACGGCTTTTGCTTTTTATCACACTTTCTCTCCAACTACCAAGGAAGAGGTCACTTGGGAGACACATCCTTTCATGGCAAGAAAGTAGCCTCGTAGATCAAACGTGGGTTTGTTCTGGAATGGCAAAGCAGCCAGGCCAGGCCTAGAGGAGGGGCTGGCATCGCTCAGAAATGCTCATCAATCACTCACCAAACGGGACCCATGGATAAAGGCTTTGTTGGGAGATGAGTCTCAGCAATCAATTTAGTGGAGGGAGGGAGTGTGGTGCAGTAGGAGGTGCATCCACTCTGGGGCCAGACCAGGTTTCAATTCCTGTATTTGCAGCATACTAGTTTTATGTTTTTAAGGCAAATTATTGAACCTCTCTGAGCCTCAGAAACTATATCTGTAAACTGGGGTTCATACTGGCTTCCTGCTAGCATCCTTGTAAGCACCGATGAGATCATCAACCAGTATGCATTCCTTTCCCCTTCCCTTGATAATTACAGCCTCAGCTGAGGGTCTGATGTTGAGGGCAGGGGTGAGTGAAAGGGATGTCTGTGGGAGGCCCAGGAGTCTCTGCTTCACTGCAGTTTGATGATTGTACTGTGCCTACTCCTTAAAAAGATAAAAAGCCTTTCCTGCAACTTGTATTAATACTCAACACATATTTCATTCTTCCATTTTCCCCTATTCTGTTCTAAGTTGCATGAAAACAGTGCCCTGTTTTTATCCATCCCTGACTTTCCTGCAACACCTGCCATACAGGGCAGGTGGTCAGAAAACGTTTTTGAGATAAAGTCAAAGGGACTCTTTTTTTTCACCTCTGTGATTACAGTATTTTGTTTAGTTTCTGTCTGGCCCAGCAGACTTAGGAGGAAGGTTCTAAGCGTGTTGGCTGCTGCTATTAGCTTTTGAATTCTAGGCAATAGCTTTATATTCTGAGGGGGAGAAGTCAAAAACCACTGAATGGTGACTAAACAGACCAAGGGTCCCTGCCTCATGTGAGCCGGCATGAGTCCTGGCTTCGCATGAACTTGGGAAAGCTATGTAAGCTCTCTGAACCTCAATTCCTCAACCATAAAATGGGGATGATAATAATGGTATCTACTTTACGGGGTTGTGGTGCAGATTAAATGAGTTGCTATCTTTAAAACCTTAGAATAGTGCTTGGCCATAGTGAATGCTTCTTGTGTTTGTTTATGTCACGACTACTATTATTTCTATCTAGTTGTGTGATGGGTAGAGCAAGGTGAGCAGGGCTAAACTCTGCCAGTTATACTATTCTGTGGGCTTTGATGAGCTCAATGGAATAAAAAGGAACAAGAAAGGCAAGACAAGGCAGAACTTGTGTGTGAGTGGCCTGGACCTCAGTCAATCTTCTCTGATGCTGGGCTCTGAACCAGGGTGGGAGTGAGTTCATGATGGATTTGGGGTATCCAAGGGAGAGAATACAGTAATGGATTCTTAGTTTCTGTTTCTGATTGGGCCAGTAAAGCCCCTTCCTCATCCCTCTTTTCCACTTATCACTAGAGGCAGAAACTAAAAGCCATGGCTTCAGGCTGCTAAGAGCCTAAAACAAAACAAAACAAAACAAAACAAAACAGAACAACAACAAAATAAGATGAGTTGGACAAGCTTGATTTAAACTTTGGATGACAACATTTGTCCAGGTAGTTGCTTTTTCTTTGGGTTGGATGCCGAAACAAGTAGAATGAGTCCTGCGATCCCCTTAGCAGATAGCTCTTCTGGCTTACAGAAGCTAATCACATAAACACTGGGAAGAATTCCAGCTCCCCAAAACTAGAAATAAAATTCAAAGATGAGGGTCAAGGTGGGAACTCCTATCTCGGGAATTTTTAACTCAGAGAGTTAAAAATCTGGAGGCTGAGGCTTGAACTTGTGGCAAGAATTATTCAGGTTTTGTTATTATTCCAAATAGTTTTTACCTTCAGGGGAAAATGGAGCTGCAATAGAAGTGTGAACTTAGCTGTCATTTTTGGCCTTTAGCACACTCTGTCATCAAATACTTAATACTTTGGTAAATATGACTCGGTGGTATTGGGTGGTGGGGGCAGGTGGGGTTCACAAAGCTTCGTGCTTCGAGCAGCAACTGTCTTTGGGATGGATAAACCCTCAAAGGAATAGCAGAATTTGATACCTACCATAGAGCTATGGAATGCAGCCCCAGGAGAAACACCTACCATAGAGAGCAGCACTTATAACTTTTGTGGGGTGGGGTAAGAGGGTGGGGATAGAAATAAAGTAATTTATTGCTGGCAAAGGAATGTTTTTCTTCCATCAAAAGTAGGATTTATTGTCTGTATAATGTGTGACATACCCAGATTGGAAGAGTGGTATTTTGTTGAAGATGGTTTTGCCTGGTAAATCCACTCAGGACACCAAAATTATTTAAAATATTAAAATAAACATTTTGTCTTCTTTACAGTGAATACATGCTATTATAGAAAATTCATGCACGAAAACATAAAGAAAAATTAAAGCTTTTCATCATCTGACCATCCAAGATAACCAATTAGCATTTTGTTACAATTTTAGATGTTTTCTATACTTTTTAAACATGTTTCAAAATGACACATTAACATTTTAATTCTGACTTTTAATTATGAAGCATAAGCATCTTCATGTTGCTAGAAATGTTCATAAAATGATGGTGATGACATTACAATTTTCTATTTATTTCTGTGCTTGAATTTACTAAACTATAATAATGCTGGTAAACATTTCATGTCACTTCCTATGTGCCAGATATTGTTCTAAGTGTTTGACATACATTAACTCATTTGATTCCCAAAACCACGTTGTAAGGCTTGTACTGTTAATATTCCCCATATTACAGAGAAATAAATTGAGAGGTTAAGTAATTGCCAGAGGTCACTTGACTGTTGAGTGATGGGGTCAAGATTTGAACAAAGGTAGATAGTGCTCTATGGACAATTCATAGCCCCTCTAGGCTGTTCAGCCACTGTACTGCTGTAGACCTTCAGATCATGGCTAATTTTTTAAGTGAATAAAACTTTTACGAAAGATGTGTTCTCTTTCCCTTACAAGTGACAACTCGGGGCACTGGGCCCAGATTGGCCCTTGGGGTTGGGTGTAGAGATGACAGGGCTGCTGAGCCTGGGAGATAATTTGGGGAACAAATCTCAACACGAAACTCCAACTATGGTGGCAGAGTCTGAATTAGAACCTTTATTTTCTGATTCTTTCCTAGCCTGTTTCTTTCAATGAAGAAAGGCAATGTAATCTTTTGAAAGATCAATGTCTAGAATGAGCTTTTGTGGGCAAAAACTATGGCTTATTAATTACAGAGTATTTTCTCCCTATTTCCATGTTTATAATCTTACTTAGCAAATATTGAGGTTTTTAAACAGCTTTTTAAGTATTGGGAAGGGATTTCGCATTCTTCTCTTTGCCTTGGACCATGGCAGTAGGACGATTTATCTGACTGGGAGACTGGATGACAGGCAGGGGCACAAGGATGGTTTGACCTCTTGCAGGCCTTCTCAGCCCTCTGTCCCTGCCCTTCTGCAAGAGGGTCTAGTTGTCCTTCTGTCTCTTGGGCCTTGAGATCTTTAGCTCAGGAAGACATGAGGCAGTCAGCTCTTCAACCCCCACTCCCCCCAACTGAGCCCTGTGGATTGAGCATGAAAGAAAGCTGTAAGGAGCTTTATTTTGACCACAAGTCTAAGATTCTCCAATCTTGTTTCACCAACAAATAAATTTATATTTGGACTTCCTTATACTTCCAGGGCCTATTTCTCAACTGGTTTAGAATCCATAGAGAGAGGCATAAGATTAAAAGTCCTTTTTAAACTCGGCCTTGATCTTTATGCATTAGAGACAAAAAGTATTAGGTTGGTGCAAAAGTAGTTGTGGGTTTTGCCATTAAAAGTAATTACTTTTGCACCAACCTAATGTTGATGGGAGAGTCACAGTTCCCCTTTCCCCCTAGACCCCAAACACTTAAGAGAACACAGTCTTGGCATGCTCAGCTTCTCCCACCTCTCATTCTCTAGGAAGGTTTCTACCTTGTGAGATATATTACTGAATCCCTCTGAGGCCCAACTCTTGGACTTCTGTGGTGCAGAATTCTGGCAGTGAGTGGTGAGAGACCGAAAGGAGAAGCAAGGACGGAGGGGTTGCATATAAAAGGACAGATTTACTCATGGGAGGAATGAAAGAATAGAGACAGAAGAATAGAAGAAGAAGGAGAAAAGTCAAGAGCTCACCTAGACAACCAGAATGTCTTCTTGAGGAAAGGATTCAGATCAGCTAGGGCATGTGGGAGAGAGTTAGAATCAGAGGAATGGAGAAAGAGAATTTTAAATTTTTACTGGGGGCTGTGCATTGGGTTCCTTTGACACTTTTATTGAAAGAGACTCTGATAAACATTAAAATTCTCAAAAAACTTAAAGAGATTGGGTTTCTTTGAACGCGAATCTAGTTGAAGAGTGGGCCATTTACTGGGTTACATACATCTCCCCAAATGTTAAATCTAACTTGATAGATGTGATCAAATGGGAAATGGAAGAAATACCCCAAAGTATCCTGAACCCTGGGATGGGTAGCTGTGGATATATTCAAGGGCTGGGGTCAGTCTCACTTTGAACCTATGCTGTTTTATCCTAAAACTGGGCACCTGGGGAGACACCCTCAATGTCTCCCTGGTATCCACTTGTATGAGATACTGAGGATATGTTGGGAGAGATTATGTCCTAGAGAAAGAAGATCGAGGAGTACAAGCTTGGTCTGGGACAATACCTCAGTGAGAAAGAAAGGGAAAATTCTGATACCTATTCTTCAGGGTCCAGATTCTACAATAAATTCAATACAAGAAGTGGTGTTACAGAAAGCTCTGCTTCACTGGTTGTCACCAGCACCAGGCAACGTCAGAGAGTCCTGGAGCACTGCAACCAGCTTTGGCAGAGAGATGGTGTGAGATCTGAAGCCTCTTCCGAGGGATCTGCACCTCCATCTCAGGTGTCTGTGGCCTCAGCAGCTGTCAGAGAGGAGCTCAGAGAATCAGCAGACACCACCTGCAGTTAGAGAGATGTTTGTAATCACACGAGGACAGAGGCACAAAAACTCTGTTCTGTGACTGCCATAGAACAGGCTAATGGAGAGTGAGCAACACAGCTTACTGTTTTGTTTGTTTGTTTGTTTGTTTGTTTTTGAGATCTCACTCAGTCGCCCAGGCTGGAGTGCAGTGGCATGGTCTCGGCTCACTATAACCTCCACCTCCCAGGTTCAAGCGATTCTCATGCCTCAGCCTCCTGAGTAGCTGGGATTACAGGCGCAAGCCACCACGCCCGGCTAATTTTTGTATTTTTGTAGAAACGGGGTTTCACCATGTAGGCCAGGCTGGTCTCAAACTCCTGACCTCAAGTGATCTGCCTGTCTCGGCCTCCGAAAATGCTGGGATTACAGGCATGAGCCACTGCTCCTGACCTCACAGCTTACTTTTATTTTTGTTTTTCCTCTGCACACAGGTCAGATAAACCTTACATTATCTCTCTGGGATGAAGGAGGGAGAAACTTTCAAATAGGTGTCAGCTGTACAGCAAAAAGTTTTGAAGAAGTTTGGCAGGAACCCCAGTCAGCAGTTCCATCCGAGTTCCTGACATCAGGTTGGCAATATCTGGATTCTAGACCTAGGCAGATGGACCATTTACCACATGTCTGTTTTTCCTGGCTCTTGTTTTCCAACAGCACTTGCAAACTTGGATCAGGCTATTAATGGATCTGACTCCTAGGCACTCGGCACTTTACACAGATAGGCATCCTTACACATGCAGTTTCTGGTTATTGTAAGGACATGGAGGAGTAGAGGAATGAGGTCCTTCTTCTCTAGTCAAGTATGGTACCCTCTGCACACCTAAAGCAGGCTTGGCTTTGCATTGGTGCTGCTGGCATAGATCTTCACAAGACTCTCAATGCTATGTGGACACTTGGCAGTGCATTCTGTGGCAGTGTGGGGTGGCAGAAAATAATCAAAGATCTGAGCCCTCACCTTAAGAAGCTGGATTTCAAAGTGGGAAATCCAGTGGGGGAGGGGAGGGTGGTCACTGAAAGGTTTTCAGTTCATCTCCAAAACCACAAGACAACAAATTTAAATACAGATGGTACACACTGGCTGTTAAGCAGACCACACTGGGCAAAAGTGCACTTTGTTCCAAAGAGTTAGCAGCATGGTTTAGAAGAGAAACAAAGACACACATGTACAAGTTAAATCTCCATGAGAACTTCCAGAACAGACAGCGCTGACAGCAGGCTCCATGGCTCTCTTTGTTTGTCTCGTGCTGGTATTGGGTCCTAGATTGTAGAGGCCAAATCTGGCTTCACAAGGCCATGCTCTTGTCAGACCATGTGCAGAAGCAATATGTCCCCATTTGGGTTGGGCAATTATGGACGCTATACTCATATGTCCCTAGGCAAGTACCCAGCTGTCCTAAGCTATCATTTCCATATAAGGAACAACATAAAGTTGAATAAAAACGCAAATCTAGCTGATTTACTGGATTCTTGATGTTACTGCTGGCAACAAGCGCCTGGTGGCCACATCGTTCAGGAGGCAGGGCTCAGCTCTCTCTAATGTATGCTATTGGAACTTGCTGGAAATCAGTTTATTTGTGCTGTGGTCTTGAGATTCCGTTTTCCTCCGAGGCTCAGATCAGAAGCGGGGTATTAAACTTTATCCCAACTCTTTGCTCACACAGAATAGTTACAAGATATCTATGCTTTTAAACCAGGAATATCAGAGCATGGGATAAAGGAGGATTGTGAGAATTTCTGAGCTTAGACTACCTGAAATGTCTGGTGAAGACTTTCACATTCTAAAATAGAGAGGAGTTGCCACTTCACTTAGGTTCGGTGGAAATGTAACCTTCTGGGTTTCTGGAAAAAAAGTCTCAGGATCTTACAAGCAGACTTTATATGAACATTTGGAGTTGTGAGAATGAATCAGACAAACACGGACCAAACGTTCCTAGAAAAGCAGAGGGACTGAAAATGAAACTGCAAAGTGTTTTGGCAGTTTGGGATTTTGGAATAATATTAGCACTCTCCCGCCCCAAACACCACCACGTAATCGACTGTCTGTATTCGGCTAGTATTTGTTTGTCTCAGAGACAAGTGATTTTGAAGCCTTTTATGACACACATTTCCCTTGAAATGCTTCCTTTCCTTTTTCTTTTTTTTTTTTAAATTTGTGAAGGGTGTGTCAGATAGAGAGTTCAGTCCATTTGGAGGGTGATTCTGGTTTTCAGACACCTGCCTCCAGATCAGAGCTCCCAAGAAAGGGGCCCGTGCTGTAATACACACAAAGCCTCATTTCCTGGCTTTGGTACCTGGGCCCCAAAAGCGAAGGAATCAGGAAATTCAAGAGAGGCTGCCTTCTTAAATCAGATAGCCATTCCAAGATTTCCTGCTCAGATGGGTGGGTTATTGATTTTTCCCCTTGCCAGAAGATGACTTGTAATCTGGGAACCAGAGGAAACTGTATTTACTTTAACATCTGCACTTAATGCAATTTTGAGTCAGAGCCTGATGGGCTTATTGTCTCCTTTATTCTAAGAGGGCCAGTGTCAGGCCAATCTAATGTTGGGTGGAAGTGATCAAGCTGCTCCATTAGCTGGATAAATTGCACAAAGACAGCCTCATATTAAGTCCCCTAGAGCAGGAGGGAAGACTCGAGAAGGTCTGTGAGGGACGATGTCTGGTTGTACAGAGAACAGACTCTCAGTGGAATCTTGAGAGTTGGGCATATGCTACCTTCTTCTACCTCTGCAATGGGACACTGTTGAGTCAGTTAGGTTGCCCAGTGGTCTGATGATGCAGCTATCACAGCTAGCATTCCTGAGTCCTGTGGCTGGGTGAAAGGTGGTGGTGGGGGGAGGGCTGTAGCAATTTATCTGAGTTTCCTGTTTTATTTTTCTCTCACTTTCTTTTCCACCTTCTCTACTTTTCCGTTAGGAAACTGAGGGTACCGTCTCCAACTTTCGCAGCTCCTTTGCTGTCTTCACCTGCCTTTTTGGACTTGTATAGATTTCTCTTTTCCATTTGGAAATCACACATTATTGCTATCTACACATTGTCAACAAAACCAATTTGTGCAAACTAACAGGCTTATCATCAGCGCCGCTGAAATGAGATTAAAACTGCTTCCAATGAAACAGATAAAAACCAGATGAATGAAGCCCGCTAATAAGACATTAAAGATAATGACAAGAATGATTAACTAGCATGATATATTGAGCAGTTATGAGGTGTTGGATGCCCAGGATCAGTAAACTAATAAAAAGAATCTACCTTTAATTCCTTTTAGTCAGTGAGATATAATCACATCAACATTATGACTTTTTGGTTATTTGTCTGTGAGAGCAATATCACACCTTTCCACCAAATTGTTCAAAGCTTATTAGTGAGAAGAAAAGAGAGAGAGAGAAAGACAGAGAGACTGAGAGAGACTGCCTTGGGAAGGGGAAGCTCTTCTCATTTCAGCTCTTTAAAAATAAAAAGGAATGTGGGTACCATGCTTGCATTTACACACTGATTATGCAGACAGTCTCTCATTTACGTTTCATCTCTGAGAGTGGCCTATTCATAGCCAGACTGTTTTACATTACACAATCAGTCAATTATCACATGATCAAGTCACATCAAGACAATCTGAAAATTACATTTCTACTGGGCAATATCTCGAGGTTGGCTGGGGCCACCACCACCCCGGAGGCTGGCTCTTCTCACAGTTGCGGGGATCACTTCTGGCCATCCTTCAGCTGGCTTGAGGAAGGAGCATGAAAGAAAGCTTCACTTATCATTCACTTAGGATTTCTCAGACCTTACTCTGTGACAAGGCCAGGGCTATGCTCCAGGAATACAGGCAAATAGAAACTTGGTTCGGCCCTCGAGGAGTCCACTGTAGTGGTGCAGGGGAAAGTAAGGGAGAAAGGGGAAGACAAGTAAACAAAGGTGATAACAAGTAAACAAACCCATGTGACAAATGACTCTGTTAATACATAGTGCCATGGGTGCCTAGAAGAGGGAGTAACTCTCTGGAGAAGCCACAGAGAGCTTTCCAAAAGAGGAATCCTTTGAAGTAGGTATGAAAGGAAGAGTGGGGTTTTGCTAGAGAGAGAGAAAAAGGATAGGGCAGAGATGAAGTGTGTGAACAAACAGCCAGGAAAAGGACAGCTGTGTTGTGGGAAGAAACACTTGGCGGGGAAGAGCAGCCTGGGAGACCCTGGCAAAGGAGTCTGGGGACAGTCAGGAAGGACCCTGCGTTTCACGCAGAGGTTTTCACGTTTTATCCTAAAAGCTGAGCTGATCCATTAATACTTTGTGAGGATAGCTACAGGATCAAACCTGTGCTTTGAAAATAGAACTTTGGTGAAGCTGTGGAGAATGGATTAAAGGCAGAAGAGAATCGTGTCTGAGAAAGCCTGCCAGAGCCATCATGTAGTAAGAAAACCCAGACAAGACCAAGACAGGTATGCACGGGTACCTGAACTCAGCTGCTAACTAGCCTTGCGGTCTTGAGGAAAATCATCTCCTTAACTGCAGTTTTTCCATCTTTAAATCCAGGATAGTGATACCTACTTCCTGAGGTTACTGGAAAGATTAAAAATAATATAAAACAAGGCCCAGGTGTCAACCATATAAGCACATCACACACAGTAATGATAATTCTCAATTAAGCACTGTGGTGGAAGGGTAGGAAGGGATGGAATCGGGGTCGGTAGTAGCAGGGTGTGTATGTGTATGCATGTGTGCATCACTGTTAGGAAAATTAGTGAATAAAATAATACAAAATTATTATGTTGTGTTGAGGACAAAAGGGAATCTGGAATAACAAAATACATGTTCAGTTATTTGAGCCATTGATGTACTTTGTCGAAGAAAATTGCATGAGTTAGACATGTTTGCAACATAGGAGAGAGTCAGCAAGTTATAAATAACACCCACTTCACCTATCTCACAGGGCAGCTGCAGGGACTCAAAACTGATTGTGAGATTTCTTGATTGCTGAGAATGTCAGCTCCTTGAAGATGACAACATGTTTACTATTATATCCCTCATGCCCAGAACTCATGAAAATAAGTATTTATTGAATGAATGACTGGAAAAACGGTGGAAAGGTTAATTCAACTGTGAGCCAATAGCGTCAAAAATACAGTTTCAGTCTTTCTCTCCATTCCCCTCACCAACTACGATTTTTACTCATGACTTTCAAAACATAACAAAAATTATTGAATCCCTCTAAATATTGCTGGCCTCTGTATGCCATGTGTATAGAATGAGGTACTTAGTATATAGTGGTGAATGAATAATACAGACATGGTCTTACCCTGAGCTTACAGTGAACATGGGCAACTGAGTCTCATGAAGGCTTTCAAATGTGTGAGTGTCTTTCCCTCTCTTCCCTGCACATCATTGTCATTCCAGGTGAGATTTGAATAAAGAATAGATGTGCAAAGACACTAGGTAGAAGGCTGTGTGATGGGATGAAGGAGGATGCATCCTGTGGTCGCATGCATTTGGGTTTGCCATCTCATATAGTATTTAAATATATAAATATTGCTTACTATATGGGAGACTTTAAGCCAGCTACTCAGCCTCTCTAAGCTGAAATTTTCTCATCTTAAAAATGAATATTTTCAGTAGAAATTAGTAAAATTAGGTATGCAAATCATTCAATGCATAATAGGCTCTTAATATTGTTTTTTCCTTACCAGTAGATTTTCTTGTAGACAAGACTCATAGCTAAGGAAAGACAATTGTGTTTGAAAGAACTTCAAGCTTTGCTATCCACAGGTTGCTCCTCCTGTCTTTACGATATGTTAGAGAAGACAATCAACTTATTCAAAAAGTAGAAAATCTACTTTCATATCCTCTACTACCTCTTGAAAATGTTTATCATTTCTGGTGGTTTATTAATATGCAATCAAGTCCAGATTCAGAAGGGTACATATTTTCAGATAGGGCAGTCCTCTTAAAAATTGACAAATATGATATGCTCCAATAAAGAGAAAAATCTAAAAACAGTATGTCTAAAATCAGTTCTCTGCTTAATAAAACAATCCCGCTGTTTAAGATACCAAATAAAAGGACTTGGAAATGCTAATTCCATAATTTTTACACTGACTGTTAAGTTTTATAAACATGTTTAAAAAGCCATTATTTCTGTGTGTAATAGAAATTTTAAATGTATCGTTTTCGGTATTGGTTTAAAGTTCCCAATCAAGACTTTCTCCCAGCTTGAGCCAGTCCCACACCTGCCATCTGTCCTGTGCCTTTGCCCTCTGTAGAGAAGGCAGATTCTCATAAATGTGTAATATGCTGATGAATTCCAATTTTTATAACCAATATGTTTGATTGAGAGAACACATTGAGAGATACTTAACATATCTATAGTCTATGAATGACTTTATTTAAAAATACATTTATTTTTGCAAAAATCTGCATGGTTACAGAATATATATTTTATCAACTGGGCTCTTACTCCTGCAGTGAAGGCCTAGTGTGTCCATAAAATTACATTTGCTATTGTGATGGCTTGATTGAGAAACTGCTCCCCCTCTAGTTTCCAAGATCTACTGTTTGGAAAAAGAGTTGAGGCTGATTTTTCTGGTGCACTATACCAATCTAAGAGTGGAAGTTGCAGTTGTAGGACAGGTCTAAATTGCATTCTTTCTTTAGTTTCTTTCTAGCTTGGAGTTTATGTTTCCATGAGTTAATGTTAAAATCTAGGATGAGGCTCCAGCTAGTGTCTGTTCCATTTTCTGGGAAGTCCCTAAATCACGACTGTTTCAGGACAATACAGCCACTGGGGCAGGAGCTCTGAGATACAGGCTCTCCTTGTTACATTGAGAGAGAAATTGTCTACCACTTTGTCCATGAGAAACAAGACTTGCCCATGAGGTAAGTGCAAAGTTGGTAGAGTGGAAGGGAGTACTAAAATAATACAGACTATATAACTTTTGAAATATGCATTTATTAACTTACGAATGGGTTTATGATATGGGAGAATATATGAATTAGTTCTATTCAACAATTACTTCCAAAAAAGGTGAATGTTTTAAAAAAATACAAGGAACAAGTATCATATACTTAAAGTAAGATAAAATTCCTTTATATTGGTTCTGTGAACACAGAAAATAACATAGGTCAATCATTATTTTTGGTATATCTTTTCATACATGAACGAGTGCAAATTTCATTTATTGATTGTATCAATCTCTAATACTATAAGTATTTTTCTAAAGAAGACTTCTTAATATGGCTTATTATTCAATTTTTTTTATAAAGTTGACTGCAGTCTCCCTCAAAGCTACATCTTATGCTTAATAAATTTAGAATTGTTGATAACTTCAACTGACTTTTCTTTATAGGCAATACTATTTCTAATTGAGAAAATTCCTCAGGTATTGGGGTAAGTGGTAAGCTCAGAGTATATCTGCTGATTGGAAGATATTCTTGAAACCATTTAAAAGTATTTAAATATATAAATATTTTATATCAAATGTTTTCACATGTACTATCTTTTTGCATCCATTTCTTCAAAAAATAATTTTACCAAACAAAATTTGTCAATGAATTATCTCCACATTGGAAGGCTACCTCAACATAGTTCTATTCCAGTACAGAATATAAGATTATCCAATAGTAAAAAAGGGAACCCCATCACAAGATTCTTCCCAGAGGTCAACATATTCCAAAATGTAATTATAGAATTTCAAAACTAAATGTTTTATGCCTTTCATCTCCTATCATCTAGTTTGTTCAGTTCTTCCTTTGCTTTTGTGGGATTAAATTTCATCGTTTTTCTGGTGTCAACCTTTTCTTTCAATAGTTACAATTTGATATCCATTTCAAAAGTTGAAATTATTTGGTGTTCCCTTACATTTTTTTTAATGAAAGCGGTTTTATTTTATTTTATTTTTTAACTTTTATTTTAGGTGTAGGGGTACATGTGCAGATTTGTTATATAGGTAAACTCATGTCATAGGGGTTTGTTGTACAGATTATTTCATCACCCAGGTACTAAGCCTAGTACTCAATAGTTATTTTTTCTTCTCCTCTCCCCCTTCCCTCCCTCCACCCACAAGTAGGCCCCAGTGTCTGTTGTTCTCTTCTTTGTGTTCATGAGTTCTCATCATTTAGCTCCTACTTAGAAGTGAGAACATGCGGTATTTGGTTTTCCATTCCTGCATTAGTTTGCTAACGGTAATGACCTCTAGCTCCATCCATGTTCCCATAAAAGACATGATCTTGTTCTTTTATATGGCTGCATAGTATTCCATGGTGTATATGTACCACATTTTCTTTATCCAATCTGCCATTGACAGGCATTTAGGTTGATTTGCCTTTGCTGTTGTGAATAGTATTGCAATGAACATACTCGTGCATGTGTCAAACATTTTGAATAAAAAATTGCAATTTCTTTCAAACAAAATTCAACCTTAATTTGGAGGACTGTTTTACAATAAGGTTCAATACTATTGTAAGATACTTAGGTTGATCTACAAATTAGTTCTTTAAAAATGAAAACATTTTACAAATCTAATGATGAGTGTCTTAGTCTGTTGGGGCTGCCATAAAAAAAAATGCCATAGACTGGGTGGCTTATAAACTATGGAAATTTATTTCTCACAGTTCTGGAGGCTGAGAAGTCCTAAATCAAAGTGCCAGCAGATTTGGTGTCGGTGGAGGGCTGTATCCTGGTTCCTAGATAAATGGCCACTTTTTTGCTATGTCCTCACATGGCAGAAGAGGTGAAGGATCTCTCTCTCTGGAATCCCTTATAAAGAAACTAATCCAATTTATAAGGGTTCTACTATCACAGCCTAATAACCCTCCAAAGGTCCCACCTTCTAATACCATCGCTTTGGGGTTCAAATTTCAACATATAGTTTTTAGTGGGACATAAACATTCAGTCCTTTGTTGTAAAAAGATAAAACATGCATTGCCATACTGAAACTTAAAAAAAATTAAACATGAATGTTGTCACAAAGATTTATAATTTAGCTGCTTTAAATACTGCTTCTATTTTGATATCTAAGCATGTTGGGACACACTTTATGAATAACAGGTTAGTGCAACCAATTTTAACTAGAGTTCTGCTCCAGAAGTTTCTTAATTTTATTAGAACATTGATCCAAATGAAAAGTCATGCTTCTCAGAGTTGATTATGAAACTTCTGCAGCTGTATATACTTGTTAAATTGACATCTTTGGAAATAGTCTTCTTAAAATAATCACTAACTTTTGAATTAAATGCTAATGCTTCTTCAGAATATGTGTGCCTTCTGGTAGATTTCAGGTAGATGGTAAATGTGCACCAATAATTTGTGCAATTTGCATCTTCACCATCAACTTTTTTAAGACATGAAAATTCAATATTTAATATTTCCTTAAATGTTACACTTTTTGAGATTATTTCTTTGAAAAGGACAAAATAAAACAAAGCATTACTAAACAGTAAAGTACATACATAATTGTAGATTTAGATCATACATACTATAAATACCACACCCCTGAAAAAAAGTGTTCAAACGACTCTCTCTGTGGTCTATGTTATGACAGTAAGGTCTATATTGCTTGTACATAGTTTACATATTCCAAAAGTAAGATTTCTGACAATTCCTACTATCCTACTGAGCAGTGGCTTGATGACTTCTGGAACTCACAGGCTGTGGCTTTGGGCATTGTCCTGGTCACAGCACAGCTAGCTGCTGATACACCAAGTGGCCAGAAGGGGCAGCAACAGTGAATACTTCTCCCATTGCTGCCTGAGATCAGGGGAGTTAGTGGTCCTTCGCCACCTATTACAAGCCTCCTTTTTTATCAGGGAGTGTATGCTGTCCTTGAAAAGAAGGTGTTGGCACCACGTGTCTTGAAAGGGAAAGGAAAAATAAGTTAAGCTACCACTTATCATCTGTCAGATTAAACCATGTGTTAATCAGAACACTGTCCACTACGTACTATGAGACAAGACCCTAGCAGAAGCTAGACATACAAAGTGGGAATTACCAAACTCATCTTAGTATATTTTCAGGCTTTGCCAAAAAAATGAAAATTCTAGGATGAATGTTAAACTGTGCTGGATCTGGGATAATAGATATAAACTAGGAGTATTCCAAGCAAAGTAGGATGCATGGTCACTCTAATAATAGAGATTATTTTCAATTATGGAAGTTTAATAATACTTAGTGTTGATGATTAAATACAGAGTTAGAAATCTAAAGATGTATTTTATCTACCCAAATATATTAGCAGAACAGTGCAAATATTAGACTAGCCATTGTTCTCAGTTTTTTATTGTGCTCAAGATACAGAATTGAACACTAAACAAGCGAGCAAAGCAAAGATTGCTAGAGTACAGCAGAGTCTCCCAGTGTCTATTCAGTCGCTGTAGTTCCAACCCTATTCACCTGGTTGTTCTTCAGCACTGGGTTACTTTTGAGCTGAGTTGGTTCTTGTCCTGGCTATACTCGTGTTTTCTTAAATACCCATGCGACCATGTTCTTACACTTTGCTGTAAATATGTGATCTTTCTTTGGTGCCTGCTTGATTATGTGCTGTGGCTCTTACCCGTTACTCTCCTGCAGTTGATCTTCTGTCTTGCTTCACTTATGCCAAAACTCCTTCTGATGTGCATCATCATAACATCATGTATACACATTGTAGCAATACCTATTTTTATCCATTGATAAAACTTGCTGATATATAGTGAGAAGAACCTGTAATTTAGGCTGAATTGATTAGATCAACCTCAACTCTCATTCCCCTGCCTCTGTAGTCCCATTTGAAGAAAATTTATGTCATGGGCAGGGAACTTACACATATCCAGAGGGAATTTATCCCTTCTCAGATGTCTACTTAGCCTGCAGAGGTAAGGAAAGCAGGAGAGGTAAAGCTGGTATTATGATAGGTATCCTAATAAAGACTTTCCTTATTCCTGCTAATTCATCTCAGAATGTGAATGCTAAGTTGGCATGCTGTATTATTATAGGTGACAGCAGTTTTAGGGGAGTTCTCCAAAGCCTTATCTTTTATTAGTGCTTATACCAAGGTCCCATAGAATGAATATGTAAATCATTCACTATAACTCTCGACTTTTTTTTCTGAGTCACACTAAATTTGTATACAACTGAGGGCAAGCAATATATTGTCATAATTCTGTCACTTCATTCATTCCATTTATTCATCATTCAACATTCAAGATATATCAATTGTCTACGTAGCCCTTGGCATTCACTCTTTATGCCAGTGCAGGAGATATAAATGTAAATCAAACACAACTCCTGACTTCAGGGAATTTAGATTGGTGATAGATACAAGGAGGAACCCGACACTTTTACAGAGTGTGCCCGTTGCTAAAACCATAGAACATATAAGGTACAAATGGAAGAAAATGCCTAGACCTGTGGGGGAAGATTCCATTAGTTCCTCAAAGAGTGGGTGAGTGCCTGAGTTGAGAATTTTGCCACAGTTGGTGGATTGGGAGTGGTAGATGGGAGGGCATTCCGAGCACAGTCAATATTCATGTGTGAAGTTTTTCGTATGGGCAGGTGGGAGCCACTTCTGAGGCTCTAGCATACTATTTCCTCTATTTGGAACACTCAATCCCACCCTACCCCATGCCTTAATGTGGCTGATTCTATTTTATTTCTCAGATTACTTCCTCCAGTAGTCCTTCCATGAAATACAAAGTCTGGTTTCTGTGCTTTTTTTTAAAATGTGCTTTCTTAGTATCCTGAACTTCTAACAGTGTGCAAATAAATTCAAATTTCAAATGGTAATTTTACCCATAAATTCTAAATTCCTTGAGGATGGGACTAGAAGACCATTTTTGTTCATGGTTCTTGCCCTGCTACCTGTGGTAGCCTGTGGTAAATAATAAACTTTCAGTATTTATTACAAAAAAATGAACGAATAAATGAATGTATGGAGTCAGTCCATGTAAATTGAAAGGTAATTTCTCCCGAAAGCTGACCAACATCTTTTTAGAATGCTATTAGCCGCTGCTTTTTATTTTTTATAGCCCTTCTTTCTCATAAAACTTGGTGATATTCTCCAAAGGACATTTACAAGTATTTTTCTAATTTTGTAGAGGCTGGCAAATGGAGACTTTCCCCCTCGTCGGGCATCGTCAAAATGATAGTTGGAAAGTATACAAAACAATGAATACCTGGTGGCAAATGTATGGGGGTGGGCAGGTTCATCAGCTGAGAGGTTACAGCACATCAGACAGGATGAATGGAAGCATGTTCACAGAGGAAACAGTGGGGGAAGCGGTCCAGGCTTGAGCATTTGCTGGGTGAGGCTGCAGTGCAGGTAGGATTGTCATGCTGATTAAAACCTGGACACACTTGCAGCTTGGTGTTGGTAAGGAGGGCAGAAGGGGAAAGAGTAATTGCAAAGAGGTGGGTTAATCTATGATTCATCTGTGGAAGGCTTTGCTGGTTACATCCACCCTCTCCTGTCCTGTCCTGTTCACAGAATGACCGGCAAACTCCCTAGGAAAACATCTAGATGTTCTTCTCTAAAGATGAATTTCCTGGAGTAACCAAGGCTTCTTAATTGGGAGTGGTGGCCCAGAGTAGTCTTTCCTTTCCTGGTCCCTGTGGAGCTTGTAGTCTGTGGCTGCTGACTCTCCCATTCTGATTCCACGTAACCTGGAGTGAAACTGCTAGTGGATAAGTCCACCCTTGTACAAAGACGTCAGCTCTCCCGCCAAGAAAGAGGACTGCTGGGGGTGTTAGGCCTACAAGCCCACAGTAGTTGAACTCAATCCATCTACTCAGAATAATCAACCTACATCTCAATTCTTTAATATACATAAACAAGGATCTCCAGAACTAAAGGAAACAACAGCATGAATGAGAGTGGCCAAGATCACTGGGAACAAGTATTCAAAATAAAACAGGCTTCAAAACTGCAAAATAAAAATAATTTTAAAAAAGAATGGCCAAAATAACAAAGAATAGCTGATCTTAGACAAAAGTGCCACTCCTGTAATCCCAGCAATTTGGGAGGCCGAGGTGGGCAGACTGCTTAAGGCCAGGAGTTTGAGACCTGCCCGGGCAACATGGCAAAACTCTTTCTCTAACAAAAATACAAAAATTACCCTGGCATGGTGGTGTGTGTCTGTGGTTCCAGCCACTTGGGAGGCTGAGGCATGAGAATTGCTTGAACCAGGGAAGCAGAGGTTGCAGTGAGCTGAGATGGCATCACTGCACTCCTGTGCTCTAGCTTGGGTGATCGAGAGAGGCTCTGTCTCAAAAAAAGAAAAAAAAAAAAAGAAAAAGATGCAATCACTTATGAACAAAAGAGATAAGTATACTCTAGGCAAGGAACAATCAGAGAACATGACTGAGCTCACAAAAAGAAAAAAAAGTATATAATTACTACAGCAAAGACTGCTAATGGTCATCAATTGAACACAAAATTTGTGTTCCTCCTTCCCAAGTATGTAGTTATTATGGGGAAGCAGTTGTTAACCAGGAAGTACATTTTACAGTGCACCCTACTCCTCCCTATTGCATCTAGTGGGACCAAATGACTATTTTCACCAGTTGGAATGTGAGCAGAAGAGACATGTGACATTTTCATGCCAAGGCTGTTGAGAATAAGATTTTCATCACCTTCCTCCCTCTTCTGGCAGAATGCAAGGCAATGTGAGGCCTTGGAGGACGGCAGAGTCAAAAGGTGGAAAGGGTCCAAATCTCTGATTCTTTGGATGGGGAGGAGCTGCCTGCTAAACAGGGGAACCTGTGTTCAAAAAGTTATGCTAATATGAAGTTAGTGATTATTATGATAAGCCACTGAAATTTGGGGGTTATTACAGCAGCAGATAGTGTTGCCCTAACTAATGTAAGTGTTAATATTTAATTTTTTTTAAAAATTAGTAGAATGATAGGAAGATGAGTTGAAGATATTTTCTAGAATCTAGAACAATTAGGGAGATAAACAGAAAACTAGAGAATGTATAGATGACATAAGGAATTGATCCGGAAGCTCCAAACGCTAAAAAAGAGTTCAGAAGGAGACAATATAGAAAGTTGAGGAGAGAAAACTATCAAAGATGTACTAGAAAAAATTCTCCAGGGCTAAAGATTCCATTTGCAGATTGAAAGGGATCAATGAGGTCTGAATAGGGTAAAACAATGATAAATCCCAATTTAGAAAGTCAAAACTGCAGAAGATTAAGGTTAAAAAGAAGATCCTAAAAGTCAATGCAAGAAAAAGTTATACATAAGCGAAAATAATTAAGCTGGCTTTGAATTTCTCAGCAGTATCACTGGATGCCAACAGGCAATGGAGAAATGACTTCAATATTTTGAGGAAGAACATTTGTTAACCTAGATTTTCAATTTAGACCTAGCCAACTGTTAATCAATTGTGAAAGTAAAACAGGAATATTTGTAGACATGCAAGGACTTAGAAAATTTGTTCAATGTATCCTTCCTAAGTTATCTACTCCAGCAAACTGAAAGAGCAAACTCAAGGAAGAGGCTGATGTGGGATCCAAGAAACAATGTGCGGTGTGAACTAAGAGAATCACGGAGATTCTAAAGTTCTGAACCCTGGTCTTCTTACTGGCTGAGTGTATCAATGTGCCTATTGTTGAAATTAATTCAATCAGAATTTTCTGTCTTACATTTCTCAAAGTATTCAGTTCTATACAGAGGATTTCTCTAAAAGTTATAAATCATTGTGCTAGGTTAGGTCTGAACCTCTTCCTACTTCCTTCACTCCTACCTCCTGAACTCTTTCCTACCTCAGGGTGGCTAGTTTCCAGCCCATTTGGGCCACTCTTTCTGGGATTGGGGGCCAGATTTTTTTTTAACCTTGTCTTATTTGTAAGCCTTAATTTGGTAGCTCTGTTTCCTGGGCTCAAATATCAGTCCCAAAGCCCTTAACATGTCCCCCATGAAGCTTAGGAATCTTCGTGCAAAATGTCCCAGTGGTCTAAGCCATTTTCCGAGCTTCCTGATGTAGGTATACAGGTTAGGCTTCTAAACTGACCCCTGCTCTGTTTTTTCCAGAACTTGCAAAAGAGTGGTGCCTCAGTGCTCCAGCAGCATAAAAATGGATCTGTAGATAATGCTTCCCTCCATTCTCTTCACTTGGAGAATCATACAATACAGGAGTATATTAAGATCTCTGAGAACCCTGGCAGAAAACAAACAAACAAACCAACCTGATTAACACTGTTTAACCCAGCATCTCCTAAACATAATTGACTGGAGAACCTCCTCTTCCCCCTTTTGTTTTTCTATTGTAGGGGAGAAGTGATATATTTACCTTACCCATTTAGGTTCATGGCTGAGACCGCTATAATAAAAGGCAGGTTAACAAGAGAAAAGCATACAAATATATTTAAGTTTTACCTAACATGAGAGCCTTCAGAAATGAAGACCCAAAGAAACAGAAAAGATTGTGTTTTTATGCACAGTGGTGCAGAAGTATGATTGGAGGACAAAGGAATATTACTAATGGTAATAATTTGGGGGAAACTTAGCAAGGCCTATTTGTTCAGATTCTTTTTTTAAAAAAAAATCCAAATGAGACAGGGTATTGCTTTGTCACCCAGGCTGGTGTGCAGTGGCTCAAACATGGCTCAATGCAGCCTTGACCTCCTGGGCTCAAGAGATCCTTCTGCCTCAGCCTCCCAAATAGCTGTAATCACAGGCATGTGCCACCATGCCTGGTTAGCTTTTTAATTTTTTTTGTAAAGATGGAGTCTTGCCATGTTGCCTAGGCTGATCTTAAGCTCCTGAGCTCATGTCATTCTCCCACCTTGACCTCCCAAAATACTGAGATTACAGGTTTGAGCCACTGCGCATGGCCTTGTTCATGTTTTTCTCTGTGTCCCTGTGTCTTCATTCCTTTTCTCTGGGTACAGGGAGGACTCCTCTGGAATGAGGGTCTTATGCCCTACCCTAGAGAAAAGTCAGAGAATTATTTTATGGCCCACTTCAGGGGAGAATGGCAAAGGTCCTGCTTCTGTTGTTTTCTTAAATGCCAAGGTGCCATGTTTTGGAGTAGCATGTTCTGAACTGCATGATTATAACATCCTTTAATATTCTAAGAAATTAGGTTTTCTTAGAATACATTTTCACAAATGTTATTCTAGCAACAAAATCCATCTACAGAGTGGCATGTGTGCTCATTGCATGTTTTATCTGTGGCATAATTTTAGATTGCAAGCCCCCACCTATGTTGGTTAATTCTGCTTCACATGGAAGAGACAGCCATTGGGCCAGCCCTGAACAAAGATCCCTGTCACCAAGATCCACTGCTCCTGCTGTGGTCAGGCAAAGAGAAGGGTAAGAATCTACTCTGTGAACTCAGAGAGGTCTGGGTCTGGGTGTTTTGAGCACTGTATCTGAAGAGGTATAAAGATGATATAAAATTATGTCAAACCACTGGAAACAAATAGAGTGAAATTACATAATGTGCCAAGGGAGCAAGAACAAATGGGGTGACCAGAATCATATGTATGCAGCGGTTTAATAAATATTTTTGATGGTGACATGATGATGATTAAACATAGAGCAGCTCAGATACATAGGATCCCAAGAGGGTAGAGTGGGACTCTGACACTGAGATCACCGACTGTGAGCTTGCTCTTGTTGTGGAATTAGCTCTTGCTCCCTGCCTTTTGGCAGCTCTTGCAGCAGCCGTGCTTCCTCTCCCTGTGGTCGCAGAAGGAGCAGGAAGGCAATGTGCAGAACATCTGCTTAATGGAAGAAATGGAACACTCTGATTTTGCCCATTATTTTGAAGATGAATTTTAAAAGGGAAGTTAAATTAATTAAATGCAATCAGACTTGCTACTTTCCTTACAGATCAGGTATTTACTTTTGTAAGTCACTGGGCCCTGAATATTTACAGCCTGCCTTTTCTATTCATGTGTACGTGAAAGGCAGTGTGCATGGTGGTTCCAAGTGATTGTGGAGTCAGAAACTTATGTTTGCATCCAGCTCTGTCAGTTACTTGCCATAATTGAACTAGTAATTGACTAGCCAAGTCCCTTTTTTAAGCCTCAGTGTACTTGGTTATAAAATAGAGCTAACATCCTCCTCATAATACTAATATGAGGATTACATTAAAATACTGCATATAAAGTACTTAGTACACTTCCAGGCACATAGTCAGTACTCAATACATAGTAGCTTTCATTAATAGTTCATATGCTATCTCCCTACTAAACTGTCCCTTGAGGGCGTAGGCTCCATGTACTTAATCTTTGTAACCTAAGGCATGGAGCCTTGAACACAGTATACAGCAATCAATTATTAATTGGTAACCTAAGATTATGCCACCATAGCTTAAGGGAAAATATGGGCAATTATTCATTTAACCTGGAAAATTCAGTCTCCCAAGTGAAATTTTGTTATGGTTTAATTTGGTTATGCCCTAATTAACATCTAAATAATGGCCACATCTATTATTCCTGAAGACTGGTATTGGCATGTTTGCTCCCTATTGCATACAAACAGATCCATTTATTTGCTTCGTAATCTAGAATCTGCTTTCCCGTCCTTTGCCTACATGTCTTGCGGGGTGCAGATGACAGTCAAGTCTTCCTCAAGTGGGCAGAGTGTTTCAGGTTGACCGCCATATTTACTGAACTGCTGAACCACTTGCTCCTCACTTCTCTGTCAATGGTGTGCTGGCTGGAATGCAACAATGACAAGCTCAAAAGTCAGTTCATCACCCGGACAGTTGCATGCATTCACAAAACAGACAACACATAGGAAAACACATCTAGATGACAGACCGCATTTTTCACTGCCCAGCTGGACTTCTGCATGTCACATAAAGAGGGGCCTTGGGGACTTGCAAGATGACAATCTATGCTATTGCTGATATGCCCAGCCCACAGGGGCGTGGCAGGGGAGGCGAGTGGCAGGAACCAAGCCTTCTTGGGAGTGCCATGGGTTCTTCTGCCTGCCAATTGCGATGGCGATGTGGCGGAGCCACCCCCACCCAGCAAGGCTTAATGACCGCATGCTGACTTAAAAACGTAGTCCCAGGGAAGGCATTAACATTCTGAGCTCAGCTGTGTCATCTCAGTTGCCATAGCAATGCTGAGAAATATATTTTGTGTCCAATGGTTATTTCTCCACACTAATGAAATGGACATTTTTCTTCAGTGAATTGAATCAAAACTAATTGAGTAGTAATCAGCACAGACCCTGAAGTTCAGGGGAATGTAATCTGACTAGTCTGACTAGCGCTTTGTGGAAATGCAGAAACCGTTAACTATCTTCAAATGAGATTTTTTTAAATTAATGGAATCTTAGCAACCTATTGCAGGCTGGTGTGTGTTATCATACAAAAAATTCGTCATTTGTTTAGCGCTGGGAGGGGAAATTTATTTTCAATTAATTCAAGTGCTGATAACATTCTATGGCTTGTTGTGTCCTCTCCTCCAATAAATAGCCCAAACTGATTGATGTGTGCTTCTAGATGGACTTTAAAAAAAAAAAATATATATATATATATACACACATACACGCACACATATATATAATATATATAATTCATAATTTGGATTCTCAGATGTTTTCAGAAAAGAGTGTTTTTTGCTGAGACCAACTGTTCCTGAAGCTCATTGAGCAATGGAGATGAAAAAGTGATTTTTAAAAACTATATCTTATTGCTTAATCTGTTCAATGTCAAATATCACTGTGATGGAAGAAACTACACAGAGATGGCTGGAAGCCATATGGAGTCGTCATTTTTGTCCTCGGATATATCTACAAATTCATCCTTGATTAATCTTACAGTTCCTTTTGCTTTCATTTGGATCATGAGTATAAACAAAAATACAAGTACAAGCTAGTTCCCTAAGTATTAACACTCCCCTTCTGTTATAAGTAGATCTTCATCTCCTTTGAATATGAGCCTAATTCACAGCAAAGAGACATTTGGTTACATGCAAATATGAGTGAGTTCCTGGGATAGACTGGAAAGTTTCCCCTAAATCTTTAAGACAGCTGGCTTGTCAGGTGTAGTTCAATAGTGGGTTGGGGGTGGCTAAATGAGTTCCTAATTTCAGATGTCCTGCTTCTCTTATTTATGGAGTTCGCTGAGAAGTGTCTGAGCTCTCTTTGCCCTCTGACTCTGTTGTGTCACCAGGCCTTGGGAAAGTAAGAGTGTCCATTCTTCTTCCCCTCTGCTATCCAGCATGGGGCTGGATCTACAGGGAGCAGGTTCCTGAGCCTGGCATGAGCAGCCTCAGTAAGACTGTGTGTGATCTTAGCGGCAAGAGCACAACCAGGTTAAGGCAGGTGGGGTTTGAGAAAACCACACCCCAATATTTGGCAAATGAATAAACAGATGAATCATTTTCCTAGGACTCAGAGTCTAAAGCTTCCAACCAGCACTAAATTCACATTAAAAATTGATTGTGCCATAATTTTTAAGTACAGCCAGACCTGATGGCGTATGTTAGCATTTCCTTGAGGTGAGATAAAGCTGTGTGGAGTCAGTCTCTCAGCTGATTGGCAGGACAAGGTGGGGAGGAGGAAGCCAACAGGGAGAGGGAGCAGGCACTCCTCTTCTCCGCAGACATCTACCTTTTTTATAGCCTTTGGGTCTCAATGTGGGAGAAGACACAGTCTTCTATTGCCATGGCAACATAAGTGCATCACAGTGGGATTAAGGGGTTGAAAGGCAAGAAACACCAAGCTTGGAGGAGTTGGGGCAATTGAGAGAGGATGGACTTTTGCTAGAAATAAACACAATAAGGTGGCAGGGCAATAGAAGAGAGTGGATTTATGGTTTATGACATTCCTAAAATATCTTTATTTAATAATGAAAACTTCATTATCCGGGCCTGGGTTGAAGTGTTGCTGTGGGCCCTCTGAGGATCCCAGCAAAGATCTTTCATCTTGACAGAAGTTCTAAATCACAACATTAGTGTTCTAACCGAGAGGCTGTTATTGCCTATTTGGTCTGTCCAGGGAAATGAGACACACATTGCTGGAGAGTGGGTTATTGAAATCTAGTAGCTTGGAATATTAAAAATGGGGGCTGGGTTGGGGGGAGGTCTCTTTCCCCATGAGCTAGGGATAAATTAAGTGATAAACCTGGGATGTTTACTAAAGTTTCATTATTTTTCAGGAAAAAAAAACCCTAATTCATCTTTATTATGGCCAAAGCCATTATTATGTTTCACACCATTAAGAAACAAACATAAGGAGATCCCTAAAGCTAATTTTCAGACCAACTATATGAACCTATTATGCCTTTATTTTCATCCCAGGTACCTCTGACTCCTTCTCAGTTATGCAGCCTGACCTCCAAAAAAAAGTGTTTGGTCTTCAGATTTTTCAAAGACAATTAGGTCTAACTGGCTCCCGGTGTTTGACTAATGATCAGAACAGATAGCTCTCCAGATCACAGTTCAATTTCTACTCCTTCTGGCAGGGCAAGAAAATGGCCTACCTGTGCTGGTGGAATCAGAAGAGGGCCAAGTGAGCAGAGAGCTTTGCAGTCTTTTCTTCCCTTTGCTTTCTCAATTCTTCCTCCTTATCTTCCCACCTCCCACTAATACAAACACATCCATTTTCATTTTCTGTTGGCTGTCTCTAAGGCCAGTCTCACAAAAGGGAAGGCAGTTGCCTAAGTGGTTTAATAACAACAATTAAAAAGTAGGTTTAATATGTGCTAGACACTTTGTTAAATGCTTTCAATGAATTATCTCATTTAAGCTTTACACCCATTTTATGAGGTTGGTACTACTATTAACCCCACTTTCAGTTGAGGAAGCTGGAGTCAAAGAGATTAAGCAACTGGACCAAGACAACACAGTTAATATATTGCAGCACTGGGTATTGAACTCAAGCCTTTTCATTAAAAAGCCCAGACATACTGCTCTTAATCCCTCTACTGTATTGTCTCCCATATATTGTAGTGCTAAAAGTTTCCTCCTGCCCAGTTACCCTGTATCCCCACCCTAATCCTGTCAAGGCTTGCTTTAAGATGAACTCAATACCAGCCATTCCTCTGCCTTAAGAAGGAGGGTGGCGACCCCTGGTAAAATGGAAATGTATTCCCTGGGGATAGAGTAGCAAGTTTGCTGCCTAACCTTGGTCAATGATGACACATCACCTGTTGAGTGTGGCTAGTATTACACAACAGTTTAGTTCTGCTAGAAATACTAAATGAGAGTGCTTAAAATGCCATTTTAAGTTATGGTACCACATATCCTTACATGTAAGTTATCATTATAATTATCTGGAATGATTTTTACCAGTCAATATGTAACTGTAGATAACTTTATTAATTAGCAGATAGCAGGGTCCTAAGTGATTACAAAATGGGTCAGTTCAGTGTTCCTGCAGAAAGAGATCATGAAAGGCCCTCAGTCTGGGGCACAGCTTGGGAGAGCAGGCCAGAGAGAAGGATTTCGGAAGACATCCTGGCAAGCAGAGAAATGGGCACTAGAAGTGTGTGTGTGTGTGTGTGTGTGTGTGTGCCTGCACATGTGTACTCCTGCACAAGATAGGCATGGACTATGGACGGGAAGGGGGTAGAGGGTAAGGAGAAGAAAGGTGGTGGCCTCTGACAGCAGAAAAAGGCAACACTGAGAACAAAACTTTCCTTCTTTATTTAGGTGAGGCCCTAGATATCTGATCTAGTGGTTTCCAAAACTGGCCAAGGTTCAGAAGAAAGACTTAAGAATATTCCTGTGTGCTACTCAAGACCAATTTAGTAGATCAAGGTTAGGCCATACACTTGCTACTCTATCCCCAGGGAATGCGTTTCCATTTTACAAGGGATCTCCAATGCATGGGTAGAACCTAGGCATTTATACTTTTTTTTTTTTATTTATTATACTTTAAGTTTTAGGGTACATGTGCACAATGTGCAGGTTAGTTACATATGTATACATGTGCCATGCTGGTGTGCTGCACCCATTAACTCGTCATTTAGCATTAGGTATATCTCGTAGTGCTATCCCTCCCCCCTCCCCCCACCCCACAACAATCCCCAGAGTGTGATGTTCCCCTTCCTGTGTCCATGTGTTCTCATTGTTCAGTTCCCATCTATGAGTGAGAACATGCAGTGTTTGGTTTTTTGTCCTTGCGATAGTTTACTGAGAATGATGATTTCCAATTTCATCCATGTCCCTACAAAGGACATAAAGTCATCATTTTTTATGGCTGCATAGTATTCCATGGTGTATATGTGCCACATTTTCTTAATCCAGTCTATCATTTTTGGACATTTGGGTTGGTTCCAAGTCTTTGCTATTGTGAATAGTGCCGCAATAAACATACGTGTGCATGTGTCTTTATAGCAGCATGATTTATAGTCCTTTGGGTATATACCCAGTAATGGGATGGCTGGGTCAAATGGCATTTCTAGTTCTAGATCCCTGAGGAATCGCCACACTGACTTCCACAATGGTTGAACTAGTTTACAGTCCCACCAACAGTGTAAAAGTGTTCCTATTTCTCCACATCCTCTCCAGCACTTGTTGTTTCCTGACTTTTTAATGATTGCCATTCTAACTGGTGTGAGATGGTATCTCATTGTGGTTTTGATTTGCATTTCTCTGATGGCCAGTGATGATGAGCATTTTTTCATGTGTCTTTTGGCTGCATAAATGTCTTCTTTTGAGAAGTGTCTGTTCATATCTTTGCCCACTTTTTGATTGGGTTGTTTGTTTTTTTCTTGTAAATTTGTTTGAGTTCATTGTAGATTCTGGATATTAGCCCTTTGTCAGATGAGTAGGTTGCGAAAATTTTCTCCCATTTTGTAGGTTGCCTGTTCACTCTGATGGTAGTTTCTTTTGCTGTGCAGAAGCTCTTTAGTTTAATTAGATCCCATTTGTCAATTTTGGCTTTTGTTGCCATTGCTTTTGGTGTTTTCGACATGAAGTCCTTGCCCATGCCTATGTCCTGAATGGCATTTATACTTTTAAAACAGCTTTCTAGGCAACATCCTCTGAGTGCTCAGCGCTTGGGCCCATGTAGAAACTTTGACTGCACTACTCTTCTATTCCATACAACTTGGCTTCCTTCTTCCCTATCAAACTGCCCCTGCTTAACTCCTACACATCCCACAGCTCTCAGAGCAAACATCCCCTTCCAGAGACACCTTTCTTGACCTTGTCTAGGTCAAGCTCCTTCATTATGCACTCTAGAGAGAGAAGTTCTTTTTCCTTTGAGCACTTGTCTCAATTTATAATTACATAGTTAGAGAGAGAAAATCCATGAATATGAAACAGGGATAATATTTGTTTCCTGAAACTCCAATCTCTTTCCAGCACCTAGAAAAAATCAGAATATGGTTGGTGATTAATAATGTACATAATTTTTATCCTTTGTCTTAACCTGGGTTTTCTGGACATCAGGCTTTCACCATGCCTGTTCTTTGCTCTCTTTTCAAACTATATCAAGTTAAAAAGCCTCTACCCATCAGCCCAAACTCTCCATCATCAGACCCACACTCCCTATTCAACTTGATTTCGAAGAATTTCCTCCTTAATTAGCTGGCTTCTTTATTGCCCCATGGAGTAAGCTTTTGCTTACTCCAAACTCCATGTCCTTTTTAAATTTATTTTTTATTTTTTGAGATGGAGTCTTGCTCTGTTGCCCAGGCTGCAGCAGTGGCGCAACCTCAGTTCACTGCCACCTCTGCCTCCCAGGTTCAAGCGATTCTCCTGCCTCAGCCTTCTGAGTAGCTGGAACTACAGCTGCCTGCCACCTTGCCCAAATAATTTTTGTATTTTTAGAAGAGACAGGGTTTTGCTGTGTTGGCCAGGCTGGTCTTGAATTCCTGACCTCAAGTGATCTGCCTGCTTCGGCCTCCCAGAGTGCTGGGATTACAGGCGTGAGCCACCATGCTCAGCTTCCATGTCCTTTTCATGTGCCATTTTCCTTCCTTAGAATGCAACAGACTTTTTCCTCACCACCTATATAAATCCTTTACATTCTTCAAGATCCAACTCAAGTTCGAAGAGCATCATAAAGCCTTCTGTTTTGGGCTGAATTGCGTTCCCCCAAAAGATGTTGAAGTCCTGACCCCCAATACCTATGAACGTAACTATATTTGGAAATAGGGTCTTTGCAGATGGTCAAGTTAAGATAAGATCCTTAGGGCAGATGAGCTGAGCTGGCCCAATATTCCCGGTTCCAGACTAGTGCCATTTGTAACAGGCATGCCGGGTTTTAGTCAGCCAGGTGGTACTTGAATTTTAACCCTGAAATTTTCTTGGTTCTAATTCCTGAAAAGATCTTAAGGAAGATTAATAAGCTCCTGGCAGGCTTTCTAAGACCTGACTTCTTAGAGCTGGAGACCTCATAGGTCTACCAAGAGCTTTTGCATCAGGAGACATGGCCAAGGAATATGTCTATATCTGCGGATTGTCTCTTTTCTTAATGGCCATATCAGTAGAGTCAACCAAGAGAGTTGGAAAGTGAAGCAAAGAAAAACCAATAATATACCTATCTACATATCTTTAAATTTCTAAATTATTATTTTAATTAATTAATTTTGAGATAAAGTCTCTCTCTGTCACTGAGGCTGTAGTGCAGTGGCACAATCACAGCTCGCTGCAGCCTCCAAATCCTGGGCTCAAGAGATCTTCCAGGCCGGGCGCGGTGGCTCACGCCTGTAATCCCAGCACTTTGGGAGGCCGAGGCGGGTGGATCATGAGGTCAGGAGATCGAGACCATCCTGGCTAACAAGGTGAAACCCCGTCTCTACTAAAAATACAGAAAATTAGCCGGGCGCGGTGGCGGGCGCCTGTAGTCCCAGCTACTCGGGAGGCTGAGGCAGGAGAATGGCGTGAACCCGGGAAGCGGAGCTTGCAGTGAGCCGAGATTGCGCCACTGCAGTCCGCAGTCCGGCCTGGGCGACAGAGCGAGACTCCGTCTCAAAAAAAAAAAAAAAAGAGATCTTCCTGCCTCAGTCTCCTGAGTAGCTGGGGCTACAGGCATGCACCACCATTCCAGGCTAATTAAAAAAAAAAAAAAAAAACAAAAACAAAAACATTTTTAGGGATGGGGTCTTGCTATGTTGCCAAGTCTGGTCTTGAACTCCTGGGCTCAAGTGATCCCCCTGCCTCAGCCTCCCGAGTAGCTGGGATTACAGGTGTTACCCACTGCACCCATCTTCTATAATATATTTTAAGACTGCATTCTGAAAGTAGTCTTAACTACTTACGTACCAGGGACTAGGCTTGTCATGAGAATATACAAGTGATTAGTCAGGGCCTTGCAGCTACTGTTATTTTGCTAACATCTTCCCAGGCTGGCTCACACAACTGCCTCCTTCTGGTGACAATGTCTGACCTAGTAGCAGGCCTAAAGAACCGGACAAACTGGACCACTATCACTATTTAATAAGGCCTGAGTGAAATGTATGTTGAGGTCACTCCTAGACCAGCAGTCTCTACAGAGTGGGAGCTGCCTTGGCTCCTTTCAGTTGAGCTCAGGCCCTCCTGTGCACTTCATGTGTGTCTCTCCAATTTGCCACAAGAAAAACTTCTCCTTTTCTTTTTTTTTCAGTTATGTCTCCTGAGTTCTAGTTCTCCGTCCTGAAGTCCATGTAATGTGAGTTACAAGCCGTCTGCAGAGGTGAGCATTCGACTCTGGCCAGCTCAAGTTATTCGGCAAGGTGTGATTGTCCAGTCTTGAGGCTGTTTGCTGGGAGAAGCACGACATAGGCTATTGCCAGTGCCAAGGAGAACAATCCTAATAAGACTGACAGCCCTGCCCAAATGACATGGCATTGAAAATGACACCTGACTGAATGAAGCTGACACTGAGGTAGGCACTGAGCTTCTTCAGAGAGAAGGGAGGGACCAGCCACAGAGGAGGCATGATCCAAACTTTTGGGATCCTCAGAAATGTGTGAGTGACTCCTTCTTGCCCCAAATCTCAAAACCATTTTGATAAAATAAAATATACCAGATTCTTTCCATGACATTGAACCAATAATTTTTTTTTTTTTTCCCTGAGGAATCATGAAAAAGAAGAGAGTAGAAGTGATAGGAAGGGTTTTTCAGGGTTTGGAGAATGACTTATGCTTGAGTCACGATTTTCCAACTACTTGTTCATATCCTGCCTTTGGCACTCGTCTTTCCCCAGGAAGAGATACAAATAGAGGTGGGGGAAACAAGGCTATGAGACCCGAGAGGAGGTCTTCCCTGAGGCCGAAATTGGGAGGATAGTCTTGAGCTAACCCCACCCTCTAGGAGTCTCAGGTTTCCCACAGGTCATTTATTTGCCCGGGGCGGCTGAGGGGGGTGGTGCCTTAATTTCTTTCTAGGCTAGGAAGTAGAAGGTTGATTGAGATCTGGAATCTCCACTGTCTCCTGAGCACAGGGACTCTCAATCACTAAGGTTGGGTTCCCTGAGCATTTATAATGCTGTGCAATGTTGTACATCTTTGCAACCCACCGAGCCCCATGATACCCTGGGCTATATTCTTATTGTTCTCTTTTTGAGGATGAGGGAACCATGTCTTATAAAGTGGAGAAATTATGATGAGTCACTTTGAGTGACAGGAATAGTAGAGAGACATCTGTTGTTTACATGGATCCTAGCATAAATGACATTATAAAGCTAAGCCTCATCTCCTAAATTCTTTCTGAGTTAAATCTGGGATAACATAAGGGTATACTGAAAAGATGAATTTCTAAGAACAAGTCTGATAACATAGGTTGGCTTTGGAGTTGAATTCTTATCTGTTTTCAAATGGGATACAAATGTGTCAAGCTGTTAATACAGACTGCTGGGATCTGAACACATAGCATGTGTCCCCCCAAAATTTACACATTGAAACCTAACCCCCAAAGTGATGGTATTAAGAAGTAGGGTCTTTAGGAAGTTTTTGAGTGGTATCATGAGGATGGACTCCTCATGAATGGGATTAGAACCCTTATAAAAGAGGCCTAAGGAAGTTTCCTCAGCCTTTCTGACATGCAAGCACACAGCTAGAAAGTGCCATCAATGAGGAGTGGGCCCTAGCCAGACACTGAATCTGCTGGAGCCTTGGTTTTGGACCTCTCAGGCCCCAGAAATGTTAGCAATAAATGTCTGTTGTTTACAAATTACTCAATCTAAGGTATTTTGTTATAGCAGCCTGAATGAACTAAGACACTCACCTATCAAGTTTTCCCTGATGGTTAAGTAAAATGAGCGTATGAAAATCAGGACTGATGTACTTGCACAACGCTGGGAGTGAGAACCTCCTTAAATTTTACACCCTAGACACCCCTCCTGCCCAGCCTGGTTGAAAATACCCAGCATGAGGTTTGGTGCATAGTTGATAATGAGTAATTAGATTCCTACCTTCTTTCTTCAATCTCGATTGATTAAATTGATGAGGCTTACTTACACCTTCTCCGTTCTGTACCTTCCCAGACTCTTCAACGTTCCCATTCTACTTCTCTAGATCTCAAAGTCTAATGCACAAGCAGGGTCCTAGATAGCATGAGTTCACATAAGGATGGACAGAGTGAGACTTTTGGTCTTTCGGAAGAGCCCAGGGAATTGCAAAGTTTAAGATGAACTCTAAAATGCCATCCATCTTGTTTTTCTGGCAGGATGAGCAGCCAGGTGGCAGATTTTAGTTGTGGTCTAAGGGGCAAATGCAGTTTTAAAGAAAACTTTAAGAGTACAATTACATGCTTAAGAACCTTAAATTGAGAGTACAATTAGAGGTTCTTCAGATGAATACAAAATACAATTTAGGTTCTTAAGAAGCCTTGGGTTAAGGAAGATAGACATTTTAAGTGTTTCTTCTGGGGTTCCATTTAAAATGAGCTCCCACTCTAAGGTCTCTCAGGAGAGCCAGACTGCTAGAGTTTAAATTTGAGCTTGCCACTCACTATGTGACCTTGAACATGTGGCATGACCTTTCTATGTCTCAGTTTTGTCATCCATAAGATGGGGATAATATGGTATCTATTTCAAGAGAATGTAAATAATACAAATAAAATACTAGCAAAGTATACATAGTAAGCTCTCAGTAAATGTTATTAAGTGACAGTATCATTATTTCAGTGACCACAGAGAAGAGGAAGTTCTATCACTCAGCTCTAGAAAGTCTGTTGTACAACAGTCTATTGCTTTATGCACACTTGTTATGGGTAACAAGGTGATTTTGTTTCAGAAGAGAATGCAACACCTCAGAACTTTAAACAGCGTACTCTCCACTACATTTAAAATATGACTCATTTCTCTAATTTAATTTACACCCTTTATTTAGAAACACACCTTCTGTGTAGAGCAGCACACACCTGCAGTATATACTAACAGCATCCACTGCAGAAACAGGTTGAGAGACATGAAGAAGCTGAAAGAAGCTAACATTGGTAAAGTTCCAACCATGTGCTAAGGACTCTACTTACATTATGTTGTTAATTCTTTTAAACAGCCATTTAAAAGTCTATTCTTATGTCCATTTTATAGATGAAGACATCAAAACTAAAAGCACTCAAATTTTCCAAGGTCAAAACCTGGTAGGTGGCAGAGCTGTGATTTGCATCAACTTCTGTCCATGCTCATTTTATTAGACCACAAAACTCTTGGGTAGAAAGAACTTTAATTTCTTTGCCTAATCCTTTCTTGTCTTCCCCTTGTGACTCTGCACCCACTAACCAATTCTAGTCTCCATGAACCCTCATCCAATGACCCTCCATGCTTCTCAAAGTGGAAGAATGAGCTTTATCAGCTCAGGAACTCATTCTTTTGGGGTGTGGGAGAACAGCATGATGAACAATAGAAAGCAGGGACACAGGGCTGTGGTGCTGTTTAATTAAATTAGCTTGAGATAATGGTATATCCTGAAATGGGAACACATCCATTAATGCTGTTATTATTATCAAGGACATGAATGGCCCATTGAGGATTGATGAGAGAATAAACTGTCCATATGCTACGAACCATAAGGAAACAATTGATAGGAAAAACCTCAGCGAGAAACTTTGGATGGGACTGATAATGCATCCTCCACCATAAAACACATACACACACAGTAAAGGGGATGTATGCTTGGCATCTGGTAAACCAATGAACTGTGAAGGGACTGAGGCAATAAAGTGAGCAGGTTTCACATTGATATTATAATATGATATGTTTATAGGATGGGGACATTCAAAAGTGATTCCAGCAGCAATGTATAGGAACTGTTTTAACTGAGTTCATGTTCTGCAACAGAAGTGCAGACTTCATCAATCACACAAAGAAAAGAGTCATGAGAAGGGAAGGTTTTGGACTTGTTTTCCCCTATAAGTGGCCTTTGGATTTTATTGGATGTAACCTACATAATGCATTGTTTATCCATATACTATTTAGCCAGGGAGGGTGTTTAGGAAGACACAAGCCTTGTCTACCCTATACCCAAAGAATGATAAAATAAAATATACATATCTTAATGCCTTCCTGAAGCCATAAGCTTGTTCTAGTTCACTAGGGATCCATCTCTGCCTGTATGATCTATGGTGTTATGGACAGAGGGGAGCAGAATGCAGCCAATTATAACCATGGAGCAAATCCTGGGAAGAAGAGATGTAATACAGGCTCAAGGAATGATTTGCTGCTGAGAGGGTTCCATTAGCCCCGGAAAGGGTTAGAGGGAAAAGGTTCACAGCAGAAGAGTGCAGATATGTGCCTGAGAATGTCAGGAAGGGCTGCCAAGGGTGAAACAAAGGGGAACTTCCCACCTGGAAAATGTTCCTCCTGACAGCAGTCTGTTCCAAGCGAAATCAAATGGTTTGCAAAAATGTGTTGGGAATCACAAATGTTTGGTGTGCTTGGGATGTGAAATTGTTCAATGATCAGGCCTTATGCATAGCCTTTGGATAGCTTATGGGTATTGATCTTTGGATCTTCATAGAGCCCACCGGGTTTGTTCTCATGCCCACACATCAAAACTGAGATATTCTCTCTGAGCCTGTTCAAATAAATGAAGCAGGACCCTCCCACCAATAGCTATTACCCTCTGCTGTCAAGCTCTGACATATCTTGGAAAGGAACCCAGCACCAGACTTCTCTGTTACTCTCCTGCAGTGGCCTTAATAACTAGGTTGAGGGCTGGGGAACTGCCCTGGGTTAGGGGTAGGGGTGGGAGTTGGATGGTTCATATTTACTCTACTTCTTATCCATGGGCACAGAGGGGATTTCTTTGCACATTCCAATATAAAGGGAATATTTCTGGTCCTTCTTCCTTTCATTTGTGCCTTCTTGCTGAAAGAGGAGTGATTTATCTGATTGATGAGAGTGATGTCCTTCTCCCCTTTCCTTCCACTTCTCTCTTTCCATTTATCCTGACGTCCCTTGAGTAGAACATAATCCCTCTGCATTGATTCCCAGGAAGTCAACACATACAGCCTTGGGTGTCCCTTGTTATGGAAGCTCACAGTATCCAGTTGCTCTGCAAAGACCTTCCCAGGTAGTGGGAGACCTCACTGAGTCAGACATATCCCTTCTCCACGTCTTCACTCTCTCCCTCTCTAATGGCTTCTCACCCCCAGTTTACTTACATCCTCAATCTGATTGAATGACAAAACAATTCTCCTTGCCTTTTACATTCGCTTCCTTGTTATCTAGTTGTTCTCTTCTCTTCGCATTGACACTCCTAGAAAATTAAACTTTCTCAAATGCTCTCTCGAATGCTCTCATTTCCCAGCCTCAGCTCAGAAAAGGCCTCCATGTCCACTGCAGGCGAACTGCTTTTTCAAGGCCATAAATGACCTCTTATTTCTAATCCCATGGAAATCTTACTTCTACCCTTGGCTGAATTTGAACGTGTTGATCACATCTTCCTCCTCCTTCTATAAATTCTGTTCTCCTTCAGTGTCTCTGACATAGGGCTCTTCTGTTCTTCATATTTCTCTAGACGCTTCCTCTTGGCCTCCTTTAATGGACTCTTCTTTCCCACTCATCTCTTCCATGTTTGTATTCCCCAGGTTTCTTCATCAGCCCTTTCCTTATGCAGGTCTCTCATGAATCCACTATGTATTACTTAAATGCTAATGACATCCCATCATTGTCACCTTCTTGCTGCAGGACTTCATGTCCAGGCCACTGTGGTAGCCTCCTAACTATCTCTCTGTATTTACTCTGTTCCCTCTAATTCCCTTTGGCCTTGTAGCCAGAGACATCTCTCCAAAACATAACCCTGGTTACATTGGTCTAATATTTAAATTTATCCAATAGTTCCCCTTGTTTTTAAGTAATATCCCTGTTTGCTGTCTAGACCATGCCACCACTAACTGGGTTGTGTGTTCAGATGCCAGCCAGTTTTGGGGTACCTACTCTGTGCCAGTTCCCATACTGAATTCTGGGAATATGATGATGACTTAGATAGAATCAATCTTCTGCTCACAGAGCTTATTTGTAGTTAGAGATGGTTAAACCAGTAATTACAGTAAAGTGTGATAAGTTCTAAGATTGAAGAAGTACAAGTTACCATGGGATCAGATCACAGAGCCTCTTCACCTGGAGTGCAAAAGTAGAGAAGGCTTCCCTGGCAACCATGTTTAAGCTAGAAAAAAAAATTATTTTACAAAATTGACTATCATCCTTGCAAAGGGCAATGCTCCCTTTTGCTCTTTTTTCATACACCCCCTTTGTGTTACTTTCTGCCCTCCAGCAGTGAGGAAAGCTTAGAGGTTCCTGAAAAGACCATGCACATTTTTAGTCCTTCTCAAAGTTAGCTGGTACCCATCCTTTAAAGCTCTTTCATTGGGTGGTTTACAAAGGGCAGTGAACTTGCTGGTTAGTGCTGCAGTACAGCAATCCAGGATTCAGTTCAATTGTGCCCCTGAGTTGTGCATCCTTGGGAAAGTTATTTAACTTTACTGAGCCTCCTTTTTTAACTTGTAAAATAGGGATAACAGCGGTACTTCCCATTGGGATTCGAAGGGACCCAATAAATGGCAGCCCTCTTTCCTATCCAAGTTTTGAACAAATTGAAAAACACAACAAAATAATAAAGTAGAAGAGAAACTGAACATCCGTTTTATTAGTGATTAAGCTGGTACTAAAGAGTATGGCTACTGTATTTTATTGATACTAAAAGGTACTTTCCCTTCACATTTAACATCTTTTCACTGAGGGTGCATTTCACAATCAATTGGCATGTTACAGTTGCTGCTGGCCAAGTGGCAGTCGTGACATAGTTGTTAGTGCCTGCACACACATGAACTTGGGTTATTCTTGGTGGCAAACCAGGCCACTGCATCTCTTGATGTTTCCATCAATAAAATACTAAGAACCATTTAGGGAAGAATAAATTAAAAAGTCCTGGTTGTTGTCTAAAACCTTCCTTTGCTGTCTTCTAAAAGACAGAATGCTAACAGAATGGATGTCTTCAGCTTGGAAGAAAATTCCAGAATAATAAGAAACCAAGGCTGTATCTTGATGGCAAGGAGGAAATATATATATATTTTTGTAAATCATGTAGCTACATAACTCTGAGTCAAAATGTGATTCAAAACAGACTCTAAATGTGAATTTTAAAGGTATGCATTAGCAATTTATTTTCCTTTTTATGTACACAAAAGAGTGACATGTCATAAACATGTATGTTTGAAAGAAACAATCTTATTCAGTAAGCATTAAAAAATTCAAAGTGATAGAATGGAAAGTATTGCTTCATGGTCAGTGTTTTTCTTTCTTTGTGATACATAAAATCATCATGCCACTTTCACTGATGGTGCCTTCCATGAGGTGAAATATCATGTATCCGCAGGCAAGCAGGCTTCAAATGCGGAGCCATAGGACTGAGCAGACATCTCCATGAGGGGTGAGAGCTGGTTGCTTTGCAGCCTGTAGAGGCAGAGCACAATTATGCTTCCCATGGGAAACTTGTTCCTAAGAAAAGGGGAAAGGAAGAAGGAGTTGGATCTCCACATGTGCAGTTCATGTGTAATCCAACTCACAAATTGCATTAAGTCACTCCTCCCTGAGAAGAGATGGAGAGAGTTCAGGAACGTTACCCATGTGGAGTTCCCTCGACATGGAAGGACACATCAATAGAGTAGCTATCTCACAGATTTGGCGTGACAGCAAAATTAAGTGGGTAATGTAAAATGTCACTCAGTTGTCTTTTAGCATTCAGTGTTGCTGATGAGCAATTTGACATTTGACATCAGTCTGATTCTTGTTTGATCAATGGCCTATTTTATTTTGCTTCCCCACCCTTGTGGGAAGACTTTATTATTGCTTTAGTCTTAGTATTCTGAAATTTCAAAAAGATCTGTCTAGGGGTGGGTCTTTCTTTTTCTTTTATTTTAAGTTCAGGGGTACTTAGGCAGGTTGGTTACATAGGTAAACTTGTATCATGGGGTTTTGTTGTGCATATTATTTTGTCGCCCAGGTATTAAGCCCAGTACCCATTAGTTATTTTTCCTGATCCTCTCCCTCCTCCCAATCTCCACCCTCCAAAAAGTCCCAGTGTGTGTTGTTCCCTTGTATGTGTCCACGTGTTCTCATCATTTAGCTACCGCTTATAAGTGAGAACATATGGTATTTGGTTTTCTGTTCCTGTGTTAGTTTATTAAGGATAATGGTCTCCAGTTCCATCCATGCCCTGCAAAGTATGTGTTCTCTTTCTTTTTATGGCTGCATAGCATTTCATGGTGTACATGTACCAGATTTTCTTTATCCAGTCTATCGTCGATAGGCATTTATATTGATTCAATGTCTTTGCTATTGTGAATAGTGCTGCAATGAACATACCTGTGCATGTGTCTTTCATTTACACTAATTAGAATTTTGTTGGTACTTACATTTTGAATCTAATGTCTACGTTCAATTCTGGGAAATTGTCTCCTGTTATTTTTTTGATAGTCCCCTCTTCTCTGTTTCTCTGCTCCAACTTTCTGGAACTGCTCTTAGTCAATGCTGGATCTCCTGGATTGAATGGCTATGTCTCTTATTTTTTCCAGCTCTTTTTAATTTTTTATTTATACATTTTTTGAGACTGTCCAACCCCTTAATTTCTAATTTCTTAATCCTTTTTTTATAGCATCTTGTTCTTGTTTTGTAGATGCAATATTTTCCTGAATCTCTCTAGAGACTTCTGGGCAGGCCAGAGAAAGCCAAAATGTGAAGCAAAATGGGTTTGGTGCTGGTATGGTGGACAACAAATTCTGTTGAAGTGGTCTTGAATGCTTCCCCTAGTGATGTGATAGTTTCTAGTATCATTGCCTGCTGGGGCAACACATCTTGTGATGGCAACTTAAAAAGTTTACTGCTTTCTGATGCTTCTCCTCTTCAGAGAAATCTAGGTTAAGAAGTCCCACAGGCCAGGTGTGTTGGCTCATGCCTCTAATCCCAGCACTTTGGGGTGCCAAGGTGTGAGGCTCACTTGAGGCCAGGAGTTCAAGATTGGCCTGGAAACCATAGCAAGACTCCATCTCTACAAAAAAATTTAAAAAGTAGCCAGATGTAGTGATATATGCCTGTATTCCTAGCTACTTGGGAAGCCGAGGTGAGAGGATCTATTTAGCCCAGGAGTTTGAGGCAACAGTGAGCTATGATTATGCCACTACACTCCAACCTGGGTGACAGAGCAATATCCTGTCTCAAAAAAAAAAAAAAAGAAAAGAAAGAAAGAAAAGAAGTTCCATAGACTTCTTGGCACTTTGTGCTTCACAGTATCGGAGCACATATTTACTGAGTACCTACACTATGCTTGAGTCTACTTTCTCCCTTGCTTTGATCTAGCAACTGGATCATAGCATGCATTCAGTAAATTCTTGTTGAATGAATGATTTCACTTAAATACATTTCAATAATTACTCGTTAAATACCTCCCAATATATTTCCAGCAGAATACAAAGCATTGTGTGTTGTTTAAAACAAAAACAACAATATCAACAACAAAATAGTGCAAGTCACACCCAATGCCGTTGTGGAATTTAGAGTTTAGTAGAGTAATTAAATTAACAAATAAAACTCCAAAGCGATACAAGACAGTGTTTAGGTATTCAGATAAGCGTTAGAATGCAGTTTCCAGGCTGGGCGCAATGGCTCATGCCTATAACCCCAGCACTTTGGGAGGCCGAGGAGGGCGTATTGCCTGAGGTCAGGAGTTTGAGACCAGTCTGGCCAACATGGTGAAACCCCATCTCTACTAAAAATACAAAAAAATTAGCCAAGCATAGTGGCATGCACCTGTAATCCTAGGGCTTCTGAGGCTGAGGCAGGGGAATTGCTTGAACCAGGGAGGTGGAGGTTGCAGTGAGCCAAGATTGTGCCACTGCACTCCAGCAAGTCACTGGATGTCACAGTACTGGGGGACAGGTGGCAAAGAAGAAGGCACCTTTGAAGGGATCATTCACATCAGGGGCCCCAGTGGCAGGTCTGCATAGGCATGGCAACATGCAGATCTGAGCTTCACCCCCTTGTCATTTACAATATTCATGCCGTGTGGCGCTATCTACATCACCTCTTTTCCTTCTAGCCTTCAGAGAAGAGGAGGCAAGTTCCAGGACATTAAGTATGCTTTGCCACTTCCTGCTCAGATCCAATTCTAAAATGAGTGGTTATCATCTGCCCAGCAGTCTTTTGAACTGTGGCAGCAGTGGCTTTGTAGGAATCTGGCCATTCTTTTTTTTCTCTCCTGCTCTCTGTTCATTTCCCAGGCTGCACATAAGCCCATTGATTGCCGTCCTTTGAGTTGTGTTCCTATGATGCCTTGTTATTTTTCCTTCCTTGTGTTCTTTTTCTGCATAATGGCTGGTGGCAGTCACTTGGACAGGGCTCAAATCATTGCTAGTTCTCCTTGTGCGTAGATTTCTTATATTATTCCTACCAAATCTATTAAATGTTGCTGTTGACATTTTCTTTTTGGCCACATGACAATAACAATATTCAGATCTCTAGCCAAACACCTGCTCAGGAAATATGTTACTGAGGAACTTGAAGCCTTCATTCTTATCCCACACCCCTGGGCAATATTGTCTTCTTCCACAGCATGGCTTTATAGTTTACGCCCCTTTGCCTGGCACTCACAGCCTTCCATGGTCTGATCCATGCCTGCTTTGCCATGGTGTTTGTTCCCTATAAGTCTTCTCACATTTGAACAGTGATGTCTGAAGTTGCAGGACTAGGAAGAGGCTGGGTCAGGATCAGAACCCAGCTCTCTGATTTCTAGAATGAAAGTTCCTGTTTAGCAAACAGCCTGCCTTTAGTCTTCCTCTTCAGCCAATGGGGCTATTTCTTCCTGATGACATCCTCTAGCATTGACAATGCCTCTCAAGTGACATTTACTCAAGTAGTGCTCTGTATTCTTGCTTAACTTTGTCTAGGGTTGATATTCCGCTGGTATCGTCCTACATGGTTGTATAGCTTGTTAAAATATCAAAATAATTCTTTGGTGGTTAGTAAATAACTGTTACTCTAAATCCCTAATTAAATTGCCCAACCATCATCCAGGCTGTCCTGGCACCTTCTCTGGCACCTCTCTAGATCTTGTGATCTAACGATTAAGGGTTAACACCTGGTGCGGTAAGGCGTCTGCATTACCCAGCTCTAGTCCTTGGCTGGTGTTTCTTCTTACCAGCTGATGCCTATGTCATACGGGTTTCTTAGAAATTTTGAACATCAGCCATGATGTTGTGTCTGTGTCATCTAAATGCTTGCGGGGCTCATCAGTCTGTTTGGCAAATGAGATGGCACTAATATTGATACCTAGCTTGGGGGCCTGTACCTGCAACATTACTGGATGCCAGGAATCTCTGCTCAAAGGTCTCTTGTGCCGGTAGAAATTGGAGCCACTTCCCATGCCGCTGCCCTCACTTTCTGCCTAGCCATAGCTCCATAAGTCTCTCCACAGCTGCCATGATTGGAGCATTTCCCACTTGCCATCTTCCTCCTTTCTCCAATCAGCTTAGTGCTAACTACCTGTGCTTCTGTATCAAGCCACAGTCACGTCATTCTTCTTGGGATGCAGCCTATAAAGCTGATGCATTCCACTCTTTGACCACTAATGTTTCCTCTGGGAGCTGCATGTTTCGTTGTTCTACTTGGGTTGGCACCATTCACTCACACTACAGCTCTACCCACTGCTGCTCCCCCTGAGCTGTTAACTGATAGTCCTTCTTTTACCAGGTCTCCAGTTGTCACCTCACTTTCTGGAAGGTGAATAACTACTTTTTCTCTGTGTTGTACTTTTTTGGAGGGTCTCCAGAGCAGTGTTGCTTGGGCCTCTAAAATTAAAGATTTGTTAATGCTTATAGACAAGCTTTTGTTTTCTTGGAAAAAATATGTGCTTGTAGGAGGCTGCATTCAGTCGCTCCCTGCTGTAGTGGAACCAGTTCTCTTCCCCACTCCCTGTGCTATGCTGCTAAGCCCACCTCATCATGCTAGGCAGGTTCTTTCTTCTCTCAGAGTAGACTGCTTTCCAGAGGTGGATCTCACACACCTCCATTGTAGTTTGGCCTTCATCAGGATCTTTCTCAAACTTATCCCAGTTTTTCAGAAAACCCTATTTGTTTCTGAATTCCCCATACTGAGAATTGAGGTTTTTTTCCATAGGGAGGTCCCCATTCCCACAGGAATCAGTCAGTGGAAATGAACTCTGGGGAAAGGGAAGTCACCAGCCCCCACTAAGTCATTTAGCCAGCAGTCCCTCTTAGCGCTTTCATACCTCACTGAACTTTCTTGGGGGACGAAAAGTGTCTTTTTTTTTTCCTTTATATTCTCCCATGTCCTCTAGCATAGGTCTAGGCACTTTGTACACATTTAATATAACTTTGTGGAATGAATGCATAAATTGATTCATTTCTCTGCTAGGCATTGTTGCTGGAGCTTACATTAGAGATTTCTTATTTGGCTGTGTGTCATGAGGCTTCGGGGATCTCATGAGTTTTTTTTTTTTTTTTTTTTTTTTGAGACACGGTTTCACGCTGTCACCCAGGCTGGAGTGCAGTGGCGCAATCTCAGCTTATTGCAACTTTTGCCTCCCTGACTCAAGCTATTCTCATGCCTCAGCCTCCCAAGTAGCTGTGATTACAGGCACACACCACCACGCTAATTTTTATATTATTCATAGAGACAGGGTTTCGCCATGTTGGCTAGGCTGGTCTTGAACTCCTGGCCTCAAGGGATCCACCCGTCTCAGCCTTCCAAAGTGCTGAGATTACAGGCATAGGCCACCACACCTGACCGAGCTTTGTGAAATTATAAATAAAGATTCTGTATATGTGAGATTTTTTGAAAGGGAGAGTCTATAGCTTCCCTCTTCTCTCATCCCCACAGATTTTCAAGTAAGTCTATGCCCCTCTACCTTTAAGCATTTCTTAAAGGTGGATCTTGAGGATCTTGAAGGGGTCTTCTTGCTCAGAGGAGGCTTTGTGGTACTTAGTGTCTCTGTATCTAATTGAGTCTGGACTGGTAGAACATGAAAGTGGGTGACTAGGTAGGAATTTTCTAATGGACGTTTATCCTTTAAGAGTTCTCTAGGGTTGCTCAATCATAGAAGAAAGGACTGAGAATGCTTTGTCTACACACTGATCTGATCTAGCACCCTTCTATCTTGGCCTAAGCTTTTTGGTGTAGAATCTTCCTGGTGACTGCTATCCTTTGTCCACTTGGCAATCCATTGGCTTCTGTCTGTTTCCTGGTCTACCTGTGTCCTTGTTATCAGTGTCTCCACGTGTTTTTCAAATGGGCTGTTTGTGCTTGCTGTTTACATAGATGTGTATAGATGTTTAGGTCATCTACTTTTGGCAACCAATGGAAGGCTCCGTAAGTACGTTCCTGAGTCCTTGCCTTCAGAATTATGCCCAGAGGGGCACTGACCAAATAAGGTGAGCCATGTTAATGACACCTTGGGTTGAAGACACATTTGAGATTACTCTTTTGCTGTCTTGAAATCCTAAAATCAGGTTACCCTGAATCCATGATGCTTTTCCTAAACTGGAATATTGTAGAAGTTAAATATTCCAAGTGGAAATGGGGATGGAGTCTTCAATTGTGAAGCATTTTATCAAACTGATGTGATTATAGTGTTTTTTACATGAGAACTATCTTCTCCAACAAGTGAAATATCATGACCTGGCATCACCCTACCCTTTCCAAATAGCAGGCAGACAGTTTAGAGCAACGAAAAACAGTGTAAGTGCCCCAAGCACTTTAGGAGCTGAAATAATCACAACTTTCCTCTTGCAACAATGCCTACTGGTTAGAGATTCACAAGACTTTTCACTGTCTTTGTACTTCACTGTTTGTGGGAGGGGTAGATGAAAAGAAAAAAAGAAAGGGGAGAGGCAGGAATGTAGCCCAAGATCTCAGGAGGAGGGAGCCTTTAGCTGGAGCCTCCCTCTTTTTCTCCCAAGAGGATGATATCAGGATAGTAAATTACCAACCCTGGGGAATCAGCTTGTCCCTTTAAGGCTATTAAAGGGACCAAGATGAGCTGGATTCCTAAATGAGCTTTGAGGATTACTCTGCCAGGTGGAAGGTGACTGACCATGGGGGAAAGAGAAATTGGCTCCCAGTATATCATTTTTGAGCTGTCCAACGGTAATCCCCACACTGATTTAAGCAGGAGGCATTTGAGATAGTAATGGACAATTGCCTCTTGCTTTTCTCTGATAACAGCAGGTGCTCTCAGCAGCAGCAGCTTATCCTAGGTATGGAGAATGTGAAAGGTGGGAGCCTTGGACAGGACATGAGGATAGAGGAGAGATGTGGATTGGCACTTGGAGGGACGCGGGACAGATTTGGAAATGGCAGGTATCATCTCAGTCCCCAAAGGGAGCTGCCTCTCAGACTGAGTTTTGGGAAGAAAGATCAGGACTGCTCTTGTTCAGCAGAGGGAATATAGCTTCAGGGGCAGATGTCATTCTTCAAAGGCAGGAGCTAATTTTCTCTCTGGATTAAGGAAAAGATTCATGAGGTCAATGGTGTGGGCTGTGCAACCCACTCAGTGGCTGTCCTGGAAACATCAATCAAGTCCAGGCATCCAGTCTTGACCACTGGCAAATATCTATTTTAGATTGACCCCATCCTCACTTGCTGGAGAGAGGAGATGTTATTCAATGTGTCAGGGAACTTACTAAACTGCTAGATGGCAATATTTTAAAGTTAACTTTAAAAAAAGTGTCCTTGGCATATGAGCTCTGAGAGGATATTGGGATCGTTTTTTGACAGGCGAAAAGCCCTAACACAGGCGTTTGGGTAGATGGATGAGTTAGAGGCTTCATGGGCTTTCACCTGGATGATTGTAATGTCCATAATGGTGGTCTCATCCTCTGAAGTCTCCCCACATCAATCTGCTACCCTCCACACTGTTTTCAGTGTGTAATTTCTAAAAAGGCATTAAAACAAAACAAAACAAAACAAAAAAACCCTTTGCTTAAAAACCTCCAGAGACTCCTGGTTTCTATCATTGATACAGTCTTGGTTCCCCAGCATGCCTATTACTGTATTCATCATCTGATTTCAACATGCTTTTCCAGGCTCATCTCCCATTACTTTTTGCCCCGAATGTCTGCTCCAGCCCCTAGAAACCACACGTTTCCCTGTGGATGTGCTCTTCTCTTTTCTACCTGAGCTTGTTGCTGGTCCCTCTCACTGAAATCTGTCTCCTCCACCATGCTCTGGCAGGGGGATGCCCAAGAACCAGTTCCAATGTCACCTCACTTAAAAGCCTCCTCTGGTAGCTGCCCTTCTGCACACTTCCTGATTAAGGCAGATTTTGTGGTTTCCTCTGCTGTTCTTGCAAATAATTTTTAGTAAATTTCTGCTAGAACACTTGCCCCTGCTGTACAAATTATATTGTAACTTTTTGTTAATATGCCTACCTTCTCCAATGGAACTGGGAGACTATTCTCGTTCACTTTTTTCTTCAGTTTCAGCATCTATTACAGTACCTAGGAGAGGTACTCAGTACATACTGGAAGAGAAAATGAATGAAGGCTTGAATGAATGTAGAAAAGAATAGAGCACAGAAAGAGAGATCTCCAGTGTATAGATAGGAAAGGCCTATATGAGGTTATGTGCTCCCCCGCCCCCAGCCGCTCTCCCCCTTCCAACTTACTGCAGGCAATTTGCACCTAAACTGTCCTTTATTTTTCTGTTCCATCGTGTCTTGTTGCCCTCAATTGCTGTAGTCTGATGTTGACCCTGCATGACAAGCAGATCAACTCCTAATCTGCCAGAGCCCCAGTTTTTCTGGGACATTTGCAAGCTCCTGACAGAACCCGAGGAGAGGAAAACTGTCAGCCCTCACTTGTCAGTTCTTGGAGCAGCCAGTCCAAGGCTTAATTTGCACCTTGAAATCCCCTGGGGCCACCATGGCTCTGATTGCTGGTTTAGGCCCCTTCAATAGTTTATCTTAGGGGATAAGTAGGATAGAAGGATGGAGGATGAGGACTATCACCACTTTATTGTTGCATCTCCAAAAAGTCGGGATGGAGCAGGGGTGTGGGGATAGGGGTGTAGACAGGGAAATAGAAAATGAGGAATGAATAGACTGGTTTTAAGTTTCACATCAAATTAGAATACTAATGGGGAAATTGAGTTGGGAAACATTAAAAAAACACAAAGATGACTCAGTGTAAACAGCACTGTCTAAAAAGCAGCAAAAGATCCACACAGGGAGAAGCTGCACTTGAGTGATAATAAAGGAGGCAGCTAAAGCAAAGAGATCTCCCCGTCTGCACCAGGTTTCTATCACTTAATCAAAACTGACTCCAGCCACTGCAGCTGCAAAAAAATGTTCCCAATCTTCCACTAATTTCCATACAATAACCCTGTAATGGGGGAGCTGTTCGGGGGAGGAGCGCAATCAATCTGGCCTAATGACACACTGGAGACCTGGGGAAAATGCAAACTTGGAGCAATTTCATGGCAGGTGCAACCTTGGAAAGCATTACCATTTTTCTAAGTTAATTTGTTCCCTTGGTATGTTTGAAATCCATATTTGTACTTTAAAGATCTAAAATGCAAGATGATTAAAAAATATAACCGGATTTTTGTAAGCCTTTCAGCAATAGCGGGTGATATATTTGCTGCCTCCCTCCTTCCTCTCCTCTGTGAGCAGGGATCACTTTGCCTTCTTTTATCCTTTGCTGTCATCTGAGGTGGCTGTAGATTCTCTGTTTTGTTTACTTTTTTTAGGTTTTCCCTTGGCTCCCGCCTTCTGGAACCCTTTTGCACTCTGGGCAGAACCAATCTAGGAAATGGCAGCCAGACCTCTGGGTGGGATTTAGACCCTAGAGGAGGAGGAGCAAAGAAATACCATTCCCGGATTGGTCGTGGGTGGAGAGACTGCAATGTCTTCTCCTTGTTTTGGGCTCTTCCTCCGTGCCCAACTTTTCTTCCCAGACAGGTGAAGAAAGGTCCAGGGAAACAAAAACAAAATCTGGCACTTGGCCCTCATTCAAGAAATCGAGAATTCAAGAAACAAGTCCCTTGATTTCTCAGTTTCACTGGCCCTCCCCTGGCCTTGCAGCCTGAAGCTGGCGTCTGGAGGTCATCTAGGCAGAGGCCTAGATGTCCTTGGCAAATCCTTTTCCTCTTAGAACTTGTCCTAGGAAGTAAAAGGAGAAGTACTCTCTGCCCCACTGAAATACACACACATTCTCTCTCTGTCTCTTTTTCTCTCTCTCCCCTTCAAACATCTACTTGGAATAAAATGATCATGTGCAGATTTCTGCTCCCTGGTTTGCCATCTTGCCAAAGGTCTTACAGACTAGCACTGTTTATGGAACATGCAGGTAACTTCCCTGCCTCTCCTCCACTTTAATCTAGGGAACTTTACGTTGAAAGAACCCTTTCTAGATTCTTGCGGATTATTCTTCCCATGCTTCAAGTGGCTTTTCCCATTCCGGAAGCAAGGCACGTGGGGAGCCCTGTGTATATCTCTCATTGGTAGGGCATTCAAACAACCAGAACCTCGTAAGTTCTTCCAGCCTTTGAAATAAGGTATATTTCATTCCATTTAGCCTTAAGGTTTATAAATTAATCCAAAAACTCTCTGAGAAATGCATTTGCCGTCATAATTGAGAATTTGATGATAACTTACTCAAGAATCCAGCTCTAAGGCTCATTGATGGTGCTTAGAGTTCAAGGGTTTCATGCTGCTTAACTCTGTTAAGTGCTCTGGGATGAATTAACACTGGAGAGAAACACAGATCTTTTAGGGCCGGAAGTTAGCAGACAGTCTTTTTTTCTGAACTATCATTAATTAGCTCTTTGGGAGCTTTAATTCCTTGCTCAGAAAGAGGGAATTAACATTCATTCCATACTTAGGAAATATTCTCTTTACTGTCTTGCACTGATGCTATCCCAGCACCTTAGTATAGTAGCTGTGAGAATGCCCCATGCAAACCTCTAACTCCTGGGGGGCATAGTTAACCAAGAGTCCCAGCTGCTGGGCTCTGAGCTGCATTACTGTGCTTATGCCAAGGTCACACCTCCCAGAGGTGGCTCCCGGACAGTGACTGAGGTTGGCAGGGATACTAAGGCAAACCAAACTCTAGGAAATACCGGATTCTTTAGATTTCATCTTGATAATTGCCCTATGGCCCTGCTGTACTGTCCTGAGTCTTCATGGTGATCTAAGACAATTCTACCCAATCTTTCTTCCTGTCTTTTTTCTTTGGAAGTCTCAGACTTGCATGGTAGTCTGATGGCTCTTCGCGTCTCCCCAGCTCCCTTCTTATTTTCTCTTACAGGTATATTCTCCATAAAAGTATTTCACCATGTTTAATCTCAGCTTGGTGTCTGTTTATCAAAGAACTTGGACTAACACGAATAGTCGCAGGCACCAGAGAGACTATGTCTCCTGGAAAATGAGAATTCAATTGGTTATATTCCACTAGGCTTCAGCAGTTCAGATAGAATTATTTATTTTGCATTTAAAGGTAAGGACTACAGTATAAAATAATGCCCAAAAAACCTGTTGAACTCTTAGATTTTTATCTTGGTTTTGGAACCTTCCATCTGTGTGCAGAATTCATTTTATTCTAGAAATGTGTTACCTTTCTACTCCTCACCATGTGATCTGTGTATGGCACTCTAGGTAACAGGAGCTGACATTTATTGTTAAACCTGCTTCTTGAATCCCTCTGAGGGAGACCATAAATGTCTCTGATGTTATTCCATATAGAGACTTAAAATGGCAATGTTATCTATATGTGCAATTATGATTCGTCTATTTCTCTCAAAAGATTACAAGTGCTGGAAAGAGGCTGCAACCTTTTTTTTTTTTTTGGTGAAGTGGGGTGAACAGTGGATTTATACAAGCACTGTAGGGTTATGAAAACATTATCTTGAATAAGCTTCTGGGACTAACTTTATTTATCAGGAACTCTTCCCTGGATCAAGAGTTGAAATAACCTGGACAGATTACAGCAGCTATAGTAGGTCTTCCATCTGGGGCAGTTGGGTATACACAAGCTTTAATGCTATCATTTAATCTTTTTGCAAACCACACATAGCAAAATTTTGATTCACATCCTACTGGAGACACTCAATAATTACTTCTAGCTCCTCAGTCTCTCTTTTAATATTCTTTCATTTCTTACCACTTGCATGAAACAGGAGACACGTAGATATAGCTGTGGGTTCCAATTTTTGTGTTTTTCTTTTCTCCCTTTCCCTGAAAAAAAAAATAAAGACAGGTTTTGTTGGAATGAGTAGTATTTTATTTTATAGCAGAAGCCAGTATTTGATTAGAATATTTAGTCAGAGAAGTTTTATCCATTTATGACATCTTCTATCTTCTGGACAAAACGCTTCTGACATAGCTTACTTTTTTATGAGATGGACAAATTTAAAAACAATTTTTCTTTTTTATTATAGAAGTATTCCATGTTTGATTTCTGCGTTCTAAAGTATTAACCGAAAACAAGATTGTTGGCTCATTCCAAATGAAAAACATGGTAACTGCTGTTCCCTAAATTTATTTATCTAGAGGGCAGGTCTGAGATCCCATGTACTTATTTGTTCTTTCTTTCACAAATATTTGTTTAAATTTTATTCAACCAATGTTTATTGAGTTCCTGCCATATGCTAAGTGCTAGGGGTACTTGAATTAACAAAATGGACAAAATGTCTAGCCTCACTAAACTTATCCCTAGTGGAAGACTCAACAATGAGCAAACAAATATTTTATGGGGTAAAACCAACAATATTTCTGATGAATTAACTGTGGGGATGTTAGACAAAAAAAGAGCCAAGGATGAATGCAGGGAACTTAGCTTGAGCTAAATCTACAAAACAGGAGACCATGGAGGAGAAGCAGGTTTGGTGGCAGGCAGACTGGGACTGGGTCAAGAACTCTGTTTTAGACCCTTTAAGTGTGAGATGCCTATGAGATATCCTGGTGGAGATTTCACGGAGGAAGTTGGATGTATAAGTTAAGTTTATGGTGTAGACTGAAACTGAGAATATGTGTTTGGGATAGTACTTATAGCTTTAGGGCTAGATGAGAATTTCAGGAGTATGTTGATAGGGAAGATAAGCATTATAAAAACTAAACTCAGGGGCTCTCTAAATTCAAGAATCAGGCAGAGGAAACATATGTTATAGGGGGCATGTACCATGTGCCAGGCATTAAGCTAAAGGCTGAAGATACAAAGAAGAGAAGGCATTAACTAAACTCATTGAGGACAGGGAATGTGTTTTATTCTCTTCAGATTCCCAGACCCTAGCACATTACTAGCCACATAAGACTTTATTTAACAACAAAAACATTGAAAGGTGGGACTACACAGAGTCTAGTGATAAACCAGAAATTATAATTAATCCAATTCTGTGCATATGAAATCCTATTAGAAAAAAATAAAGCTCATATTCCAGTGATAGAGGCAAAGAAGGCATTACAACACAGCATGAGTGTTTATCAAATATAATTTTGTTCAAAATGTTTTGGGAGTGTAAGGTAGGGACAGCTATGTCTGCTCTGGGTTATCACCAGAAGAAGTGATGCTTCAAAGGAGAGAATTCTCACCAGGCACACAAAGCTGAGGGAGGGCATTTGTCAGATTATTGAAGTCCAACAATTTTGCTGCACAATTTGGTGTCACTGGTTCCTGGGTAGAGTGAACTTCTCCACTATCAACTCTCTGTATTTTCCAACTTTGACTTTATAATTAATCCATTTTCCATGACAAATATGTTTATCTCTTTAAGAAACTTATTTAAACAAATAAACATCTATTTAATGCCTACCTTACATATTATATTCCTATCTGCCTTCAAGAAGCTTTCAAATAATGGAATGAGAAACAGATGTTAGTAGTCAACTACAAGGCAAGCCAAGATAACGTCCTAAACAGAAGTGCGAAGAGGTGTTGTAGGCATACATCAGAAAGAAGAAATGCTTTTGACCAAGGATCAAGGAAGGCTACAGAGAGGAAATAACAATGAGCTTATTCGTGGGACTATATAAGATAAGGGAGTGGAGTATATTTCAGGTTGAGGAAACAGCATGAGCAGGCATAAATATAATATAATGTTTGGTGTGGGAGAAGCAGTGAAATGTGATGTCAATGACTGGGGGGATGTTCCAGGAGACTGGCTAAAATATTGTTGGCAGAAAAATCAGGAAGGGCTTAGGATACCATGCTGAAGAATTTGGACTTTATAGGCAATGGGGATGCTTTTCTGCAAAGGGAAGAGAACTTTTGGGCAACTCCTCAAATATGAAATCAATGGGAGACAACCCTGAGTAAGGTTGAAATGTTTCTCATGACTAAAAAGTAGAGTGAGAATATTATAGGCTACTTCTACTGGGAAGGGTTTGTATAAACCATAACCATATCTTTTAAAGTCCCATTAGGCCTTGCTTCTAGTCCATTAGTTTGGGAATGTTAGGCTGACATTTTTATTCATGTAACCCCATTGTACTCTCAGATATTCCTGTATCCAAGAGAGATAAGTAAACCCTTAGCCTGATCATAGAACTTCTGAATATATATGGTTAGTTGATGACACATTTCTCTCTCCAGTTACCCAAGCTCCATGAAACAATCATAAAGGAACAAAAGGACAAAGTAATTGGGGGAATATAACAACAATGAACACAGGTAAGTTACATGTTTGTTCACATGTTTCCTTAGAATCTGGAAGATAGTAGGTAAACAATTTTTGAATGATTACAAACTGAATTAAAATAATCAGATAGACTTTTGCAAGGTGAAGAGCTGATGAAGGAGTGATAATAGAACATGGCAGATAGGAGTTGGTTACAACCTGTGAACGTGAAGAGGAGGTATTATTGATACTAGGAAAGATTAAACTTTTTCTTTCTGTCTTTTTGCCTCCCTAGGGCTAGAGTGTGTAATCCTGTTGCTGTCGTTAATCCTGTTGCAGTTCACTCTTATCCAATTCTGTATGCTCCTTAGATCCAGAAACAGGCATGTTATGTCCTTGTGCATCTGCTCTGCCCAGCTAGATGTTGTCATCCCTACCCAAGAAGAATGCATTAGATCCAGTAAAAGCTTCATGTTCAGTCTCAGTTGCAAAGAGCAGAGCATTTCAAAGTAGGGGTCATGAAGCCTGCTCCATGGGCTTTACTGATTGTCTGCAGGAAACCGCTCTCATCTTAACCTCTGTGTCCTTGAATCAAAAGACATTTTTGCTGGTCACACAGGACAACGTTTTCTTAATATTCCTCAAATTTCCCTACCAAATCTTAAAAGTATGATTCTCCTCTGAGAGTTAAAGTAGCAAAACCTGTATATGACGCACATGATTCTTCATTTTTTAGAAGAAACCAGAAAGACATTTTGTAAATGGACAGCTGAGTGATATGGGGCTAGTAATGGAAGGGAGGCTTTGGAAGGGCTGGCCTTGAATGTGATTAACTTAACAGTAAAACCTGATGAAATCAATCAGTTCCTTCCTGAAGAGACCACAGCATGGTGCTGAAGAGCGTGATCTCAGGAATACAGAACTGGATTTAAATCCCTGCCTCAGATGACTTTGTGAACCACGTATCCTCTATGGAAATCAGTTTCTTCATCATTGAAATGGAGATAACTGGTAAGTCATTGGAGTTGTGTGCTGATTAATGAGGTAATGTCTGCAGTGGTTAGTATAGTATGTGGCACATTTAACAAGTGGGTCTTCATGAAGCTGAAACAAGGATACCAAAGGACCAAAACTGGTCATCGTTCATCTCACACACCCAGAGGACACAGAGTCTGAGTGTGAAGGAAATGAGCATTCAGGCCCCTGGGGAGTTGAACTCATGTGGGACAGGTGTAGTACATCAGGATTTCCTGTGGCCTCTAGGAGCCACCCTTCAAGGCCACCCACTTCCCACTATGCTCATCAAAGCAATGCTGTGGTGAGGAATTTTGCTTCCAAGTTTTCTGCTGCCTGGGAGAGCTCTAAATATTGTATTCCAGTATTCTGTTCACTTAGCAAACGGTATTCTCATTCCAAATACATGAATTGCAGTTTGATCTACATTTTAGATTCTTGTTTTTTTCGTTTACATGAATCACTGTCTAATCTTGATCCTGACTAGGATGAACTCAATAAGTGATACCTGCTGTGTGGAGTCGTAAGTTTTTCCACATTGTCTCCATTTCATCCCTCTCCTTTCCCTTTCCGGGGGTGATCTCCTGTGTCCAAATGACACTGGCTTCTCTCTGTAGACTCTCCCACTACCATTGACCTTGCTCCACTCTGTGGCTACTCAGACCCTCTCTGGTGCCTGAGACCCTGCTCCGTACCATGCCTACCATCAATTCCGGGGAAGCAGCTGTTTTCAGGGCTTCACTGGCTATGCAGGAAATAGTGGTTCAGAGACACACTGAGCCCAAATATGTCTGCTGTCTGATTTTACCAGAGTACACACATATTTGGCTGATGCTTCCATATCTTCTTGCCTCAAGGGGCTATATTTCTTCTGGAATTGAGGTAGTTTTCCTCATTCATGGGAGGAGGTATAATTCCTGCCTCTGGCCCTTTAAAGGGTCTCTCTCTGAGACTCAGAGCCTGCTCCTTAGCTCTAGCAAATTTTCCCCCAAATTTCCATTTTATTTTCTTATGTGAATAAATATGATTCTGTTAGAGGGTCTGATCTTAACTGTAGGAAACAAGAAATCCCACAGCTTGTTGGGATCCCACAGGGTGTTGGCTATTATCCCATGTCTCCAGCCAGTTCATTCTTTTAGACCTATTACAGCTAATTGTGACTACTAGAATTTTCTTTTTCTAATATGTTTATCTCAAAGTAAGTCAGCTTCTTCCATTATCATTCCCCACCTCTCACCTCACCCAGTCTTCTGTTACAAGAACCCAAAATCTTTATTCTTACTGAGTTACTGTCTGGCTAGTCATTGGGGTAGGTAAATATTTGATTTACTTCTGGATTCTTCCACTTTTCTCCTGCTTTTGAGGTATTACATGCAATAAGATTTATTTATTTTAGGGACACATTTTGGTGAAGTTTTATAATCATATACAATTGTATAAACCACCACTACAATCAAGACAAGGCAAGTTTTTCACTCTAAAAAATTTCCTTTCTTCACTGCTTTTTAGAGATGACTAAATCCTTGAAGCACCATTTACCTCAGACGTAAAGATTCTTTATAGTGAAACACTTTAGGGAAAATTTTATTTAAAAGTTTTAATCTTGGTGATATGTTCAAAGTTTTGACTTTGGGGGACTTCCAGGTCTGATGTTGCAGTTGTATCTTAGATTTTTCTCTCAGCTAAAGGCCACATTTGCCATTTACATCTGCTATTGATGTAGAATATGTTCACAGATGGCAGGTATCTTGGGCAAAGACTAATACATTGGCCTTATACCCTCTCCATACTTGCCACCTGCCATTTTAACAATTCTTGGTCAGTCTCACAACTCATCCAGCAGTGGCCAGCCTTTCCCCAGCTAATGAACTGAATGAAGTGTCACAATCAGATCTTAGCAGCTTTAGAAAACTGTGTTGTCCAAAAGGCGTTGCATTCTTTTCTGTTCTTTATAGAATCTCCTCCATTCCATTCAGCATTCCAGGTCTTCATCTAGTAAACAGAAGTGCTCTTTGTTTTTTCCATGCTTCTTTTATTGCATATCTTTATCTGTCCACTATGATCATGTGTGACCTTCGTAATTATGGCTCACGGAATCTCCATTTCTATCCGTCCCTCCATCCATCCATCCATCCATCCATCCATCCATCCATCCATCCACCCACCCACCCATCCACTCATTAGTCAACAAGCATCCAATATGTAGAAATATGTGATTTACATATGCCAGGCATGAGATAGCATTGCACTTTACAATATTATCTAATTGGATTCTTACCAAAACACTGATTTTACATTTGGAAAAACTAGGTGGCTTACCTAAGGAAACTGATGACAATAAATGATAGTGCCCTAACTCAAAAATCTGATTCTGTCTGATTGCCAAGAGTATTCTTTGTCCTGAGTTCTGAGTTGGTTGTGTTGTGTTGTTGTGTTGTGTGTGTGTGTGTGTGTGTGTGTGTGTGTGTGTGAACTCAGTGGAGAGAATGAGTAGGGATTTGGCTCTATGATTCTGAAGTTCATTTGAAAGGTCTGGAACAAAGATAGAAATTCAAGAATTATTGACACACGGATGGTTTTGGAAGCCATGCACATAAATGGGATTGCCAATTGAGAGTGGAGAGACAAGATCAGAAGAGGTGATCCAACTAGAATCACAGCCCAGACTCTGGTTGAAACATTCTGCACTACCTTAGTCTCCACATGTTTGCTTGTCTCTGTCAGCTGTTCTTTATGTTATTACAGAAAACCATATTCACAGCATTGTCTCTTGGTATCCTTCTGTCGCTCTGAGAGACACATGTTAAAAGTGGAAACTCTGCTTCCACTCACTAAAGTGAAGGAAGAAGATGCTTCTTGAGTACCCATCCTCTATATATCCTGGACATGCCTAGGTCTCAAGTCTGACTTACCAACCCCATAGCTACCCACTCAGTCACTGGGAGTCTGTTGTATGCATTGTCCCTCTCCCAATAACCTATCTCCATTGTGCAAGGAAAGTTTTCCTAACCTAAGAAAGACTTCTTCTCCTCCCTGACTTAACCTAGACAAAATTGGAATTTATCATGGAGTTCAGCTATTATGGGAAGCTATACACCAAAATGTATGCATGAATGAAATGCATTCATATGTCTAGTTTACAACTGGAACATCAGATCTGGCAGTCTCCCAAAGATTTTTAGATTCTAGTTTTATTTATAATCTAGCTGGAAACTTGCTTATCTGTTCTTTCTTACAAAATCCATCCCCAAACCCGTGCTTGGTCTTTCTCAACACTGTTTCCTAAGCCCACCACAATTCTATTTCAGGAATTTTGGGATTATTCTATGACCCACCAGTGGGAGGCCTAGATTTATTCTTTATTGATTTGGGGTTAATGAGAAGTTTCTAGTTAAAGACCATTTTCACTTTTGCGGATCACACCTCATACTCCTGTGGCCCACTAAGTAGGCTATTCATCCCACCCACACAAACCACATATATCACATATATCAGAGATGGCTGAATGTTTTTCTACCATAATGAGGACCAAGGCCAGGTAGATGCCCAGTCCTAGGAACTATGCTGTATACATAATGTTCATCCCAGGAGAGAACTCGGTAAAATAGAGAAGAGGACATAGGTTTGTATGTCTTTAGAAAGTCTTGGGTTAGGCCAGCTGCAGTGTCTCACACCTGTAATCTCAGCACTTTGGGAGGCCGAGGCGGGTGGATCATGAGGTCAGGAGTTCAAGACCAGCCTGGCCAAGATGGTGAAACCCCATATCTACTAAAAATAAAAAAATTAGCTGGGGCTGAGGCAAAGAATTGCTTGAACCCAGGAGGCGGAGGTTGCAGTGAGCCGAGATCAGGCCACTGCACCCCAGCCTGGTGACAGCTAGACTCTATCAAAAAAGAAAGAAAGAAAAATGAAAAAAGAAAGAAAGAAAGAAAGAAAGCTTTGGCTTAGATATTCAGGAGAACGTTTTTTGGCCCTGGGGATGAGTGAAACTTTTTAACACGAGAGGACTGTAGCAGTCCTTGTTGTTATTTTTATTTTTAAAAGAAAACAAATCACTTCCCAAAGATAGTTTAAATGCCATCCTGCCTGGAGGAAGGGCAATGGGCTAAATAACTTCTCAAGGTCTCCCTTAACCTGAAGCCTTTTATAGCCAGTCATTCAGAAAATGTGCTCCCTGAGTAAAAATCACCCTAACTGCACTTTTCCAAGTGAAAATTCAAATACCCTGTTTCTGATAGGTGTCCAAGTTTCAATGATGTGTTGCTATCCTGCATTATGAACCACAACACCTTTTCTCAGATGTCAAAATCTTCTCTTACCAATACAAGCAAATATCTATTTCCCTCAGACATCTGGCTGATTCTCAGGCAAATCTGAGTGAGTCGATAGCTCAGTACTAATTATCTGCCTGGTTTGTGCTGTCTCGTGAGCACCTGGGAGACATAACTGAGACTTTGTTCATCCTGGCTCAGGAGGGAGCAATAGGTATTGGTGATTTAAGGGCTCTATATTTGGGATTGAGAGAATTGAATTTTGAGGTTGGCTCAGCCCCCAACTAACTGTGGCACAAATTTCTGTGCCTCTTTGGACCTCAAGGCACAGAGGTTAGAAGTGCAGATGCTGGACCAACATGGGTCTACAACTTATTAACTGAATGACAAGCTACTTAAGCCCTTTAAACTCTGTTTACAGTTTAGCGTTCTGTAAAATTCTGATAATAACACCTATTATAAGAAGAAGCATGATGAAGATTGAAGGGGAGAATTTATGTATCTTGTGTATTTGATCACTTGGTACAATAGTAGGTGCTCACTACCTGTTAGATGTTGTCATTTGCTTAGATTTTATTTGTAGAATCGAGATTGGCCGATAAAAAAATTCCTTTCCACTATGAGAGTCAGTGAGTCAAACACTATTTTTTCTGTAGTGATATCTACTTCCTCTCCTTCCTTGGTCTCCATTTTCATGGGGTACCCACAATTTCCTACAACCACAAAGCCAATTGGTATGTTGCCTGCTGTGCTGAATTTCCTGTTTCCCACAGCACGGGGCTCCTCCCTTGCTGCTCACTCCTCCACATGGTGGTCCTGTGTTTGATGAAGGATCCTGTCAGGTCTACAAGTGTACATCCTCCTCCTCCCTGGCCATTAATTCTGTCAAGCACTGAGCAATGTTGTTGCCAAGCCTTCCTCTCCTGTGAGCAATCTGTGAGACTGCCTGACATTTATAAGTTCCAGAGCTGTTTTTCCCTCAAAACAAAGTCATCTCCCAACTTTTACATTATAGATCATCCTGGAGCTTTATTTTCACCATCACTGAGCTGGAAAGGGGACGAAGATATCCCATATTTTTCTCCTCCTCAAAACCAAGCATCTTGAATAAAAACCCTTTTGATTCTCATCTTTTTCATTTGCTCTCCTAATGCTCAAATGAAAATGAGACTTTGCCTTTTGATTTTCACTCCTTTGTCAATTTTCCAGTGGCTGCCAACCCAAGAGCAGCATGGACAGGCTTCAGCAGCTCCTCATGGATGAGAATGTGAGGGTGGCAGCTCCATCACCAGGCACCTGGGGCTGCCTGGATGTTCTATCAGTGCCAGTTTTGCTAATGCCCCAGGACTAGTTTGACTGAATAGCTTTTAGAATAGTAAGGTCTGTGTGGCAGCCTGGGAACAAAACTATTCTAATAGCATGTGTGTGGGGAGTGGGGGACATACATGTGGGAGGCAAGAAGTTCAGAAGCTTGGTTTGAATTTCTAACTCATCTCGGGCTTCCCTGGGCTTTCAGGATAATTTAGCCCTCCAATCACTGTAAGAATGTAAATGTCCTAATTTATGGAACGGTGCTGATAATTTATTGTGTTGACCTTATCAAGGGCATTTGCCATTTGAATGAAGACCACATGAAAAGTGTGTTTAACCTCCAATGTTCTGCTCTAATAATGGAATTTCAGGCAGCCTCTTAGCTGATTGAGGGAAATGTATTTGCTCTGGAGTGTCTCCCTGGTATTTCTCAAATCTCAAATCACACATGTAAGGTAGCCATGTAACTCTAAGTATATTTCAGGCTGATTTTACATACACACATATGCCTTGGATGGGGTTCCCTTCCCTGCCTGCTGCTGCTTGATGTGTCTGGACTGACACCTCAGTGATCCAGACTGACAAGAACTTGTTGTTCTATTACTGAGTTGTTATTAAGTTTTGTTTTTCCATCTCTTTGAATTTTCAAGATATTGGTTTTTATTCTACTCTGCTCTTCACTGAAGGGAAGGAGAAATTTATTTGGCAGGTGCAGTTCATAGTTTTAAAATTAAACTGACTTTATCCTTTTGTCTTTCTCCTTCTGAACCCTCTATTTCCATATATGTTCACTGTCTCTATATCTTACTTTATCTCTTTCATTTCCCCTCTCCTTTTTTCCCTTTCTCTCCTCTTTTTCTCTCTGTCACACACACACGCATGCGCACACACACAGATACTTCCTTAGTTGTATCACTCTGGTTTTCATACACATAATTCCTCTTTCCCTGCTTTATAAGCTCTGATTCTCAAGTGATGTTACTAGGTGAGCTATTTGATGACCATTACTCAGTGGAGGCTAGAAAGGGCATTCCTGGATCCTGATATTCTTCCGGTTTCCTTGCCTTTGCTTAGACATACAAGCTCCTTTGTGCTTGGCAGTTTGGGTTAAGGGTTTATTGACTCCTATCTTGAGACATACTCTGATGAGAGTAATACTTGTATGCTTGACATAGAAAACTCTGGCTAACCTTATTAAATTACCTAGCTTGGCAATGCTAAAAGGTAGAGGTGTTACAGATTTTGTGGGGCCTGAAGGTAATACAAGACAAATAATATAAAATTACAAATAAAAATTATATTTAGAGCCTTAAAAGGGAGACATGCACGTGAAAGGCCCTGAAGCTTTAGGTTCACTAATTTCATGATAAATTTAATTCTTTTAGAGTGGGGTCCTCATTGCAAGACCCTGAAATGTTTTACCTTTCCTAAAGTATTGTTTGTTTTGTCATAGTTTTTAAAGATGCCCTCAATCTTCCCTGTCACGTATTCATTTACACTTAAAACTAAGATACAACTGCCATTTGGCTTCTGAGCCTGTTGTTCAAGCCACCCTCTAGTTGTCACCCGTACCTTCCTATCAAATTTGTTCCTTATGTGTGATTTTTGTTCCAGCCTCTGGTCCCTCAGGTCTTGACCTTCCCTTCTATTTATCCTGATGTCCTGTCATTTCCAATTCTTCCCTTTCTAGACTGATTAAACCTCCCTATATTTCCTGTAGATCCAGGGAGAGATTCCCCGTTGTATTCCCAGCCTCAAGGAACCCAAATTCCATCCAGATTCCATTGCCTGGGGGCAGTTTTTAGAAAACGACAAAAATATCTTTTAGAATAGTAAAGTCTGTGAGGCAGGTTGGACCCGGTTGCCTGGTTAGAAATTGGAGAAGAGGCTTTAGATGGTTACACAGATTTATTTCCGTCCATAGTGAGTCCAAGTCAATCCCTCAACTGGGCTTCGTCTGTCTCTTCAGTCATGTATCAGCTCCTTCCATCCTAATAGAGAACAATAACCAAACTTTGCAATCTTACATCACACAAGGGAAAAGCATCTCCTGTTATACTATTGCAATATCAGCATTATACCCAGGGGGGTCTGGAAGCACAGATGCAGGGAACTCAGCCCACCCTAAGGATACACAATGGTTTCTATGAGGAGGTTACAGAAGACCATGAATGTCAAGTCAACCAATTTGAACTTTATCTTCAGGAAAATGGAATTTACTGAAAGATGTGAAGCTCCACTGAAGGGTAGAACCTTCACCAGGTTTTCCTTCCAAACATCTTCTGCTAACAGTTTACAGAATATGGCTTGGAGGAAACCCTACTGGAGCCAGGGAAGATAGTTGGTCAGCCACTATAATCCATCTGAAAGACCAGGACAGGGCTGGCAGGGACAGAGAAGGGGCAAAGGAGACAGAGAAGAGGTGAAAGCTTCAAAAAATGTTTAGAAAATAAAGTAAGTAGAACTGAGTAATTTGGAGCTTGAATTCAAATTCCAGTAATTGGCAGGACTGTACAAGGACCAAATCTTTTCTGACTCTCTCATGTCTACTTCATTCCTTTCCTATCTAGGATAGATATAGAAGATGATGTGTTTCGTCTTTTGTAAGGTGAGCTGTGTTCATATGATAAGTTGTATTACTCAATATAGCCCATGGTAGGTCGGGGTGAGTGAAGGAATCTCCCTTTAGTGGGATCTCAAATCTTAATTAGCTACAGGCCTGGGTCCAGCTGCCATCACTAGTGGGGGCTCCGCAGCTGTCTTCTGTGCCCTGTTGTGTCTGGGCTTGCTATCTCTCTCAGGCTACCGATTGTAGAGGGTGGCCTTGTCTTTCCCTGGTGTTTATGATGGGTGAGACAGGGCTTTTGTGGCTGTGAAGCACTGTAATTCACAGAGCTCAGAGCTTCCACTGGGTGAAGCTCAGATATATAAAGCATGGCCTGCAAACTAAGACCTCCCGGATTCTAATCAGACAGGGCTGATTCCTCTCCTTCCAGTGGCTTTTATGACCCATCCTTGACTGAGATGACGAAGTTCTTCGTTGTCCAGCAAAAAGTAAAAATCTGTAAGAGGCAATTCAATTTCTCAGGTCATAAAGTTATATGTCCACTTCTTGCACTTCTTCTTCTTGTTTATTATGGCGGAAAACTTCTGAGTTCACCATCTATATTTTGTCAGTGGATAAAAATTGTTTTATTCTATATGTTTCTCCTGCATCCTGCCACCCTCTGTCCTCACCCTGGCCTTGCTTGCATTTCATTCTATTCCTTACCTAAGAGATCCTTAAATCAAAACTCACCACTTCCTGGCAGATAATACCAATCTGCCTGTTGCTGAGACTGGAAATGCATTCCCTCTAGGTGACAGAATTTTTGGTGGCATGAAGGTCAGAGGAGGTGAGCAAAAGAAGGGGCAGAGACTCCCTTTTCTGAGCAGCAGACTCCCTTTTTAGAGTAACTGTATAGTTTTTCCTTTCCTCTTGGCCCCCAAAGGTTTACATACATAGATACAGTGTTCTCATCCTGAGTATGGTAGAAATCTAGTTCCTCTGTTTATTTCTTCCCTTATTTCCATTAAACCTGGTATGGAGGCATGTTTCACAGTGTTAGCCTCACACACAGCCTGTTGCAGAAGCAGCCTGCTGTATCATGGAACTTCTTGTCCCCAGAGCCATGGCTGACTGAACCAGGACTCAAACCTGATTTGAACCTGATTAAAAGGTAGCCAGCCAACTCATTACCTAACCTAGGACTCATGTGGCCCAGCACAGAGATAACCTGGGCCAATCAGATTCCCCCTCTTGAGAATTTGTTTGCTTCCCCCCATCATTTTGTTATGAAACATTTAGAAAATTTGAAAAAATTACACATTAAATACTTATAAAGCCACCATAGGATTCAATGATTAACATTTCACCATCTATTTTATTACATATCTATCTCTCTAGCCGTTCTTCTAGTGATCCATCAATATATCTTATTTTTTAATGCATGTGAAAGTAAGTTGCACACATCACTACAGTGAGACACATAGAATGTGGCATCTGTTTTTAACTTACAGAGAGTGCTGGAGCTAGAAGGTCATGTAGACTAGGAGAGAGAGAGAGATGACTGGGTTGAGTCGTAGACAGCTGAGAAGTGATAGATCCAGTTTGTAGAGAGACTTGGAGCAGACGTGCTGAGGAGAGTGGGGGCACGTGGCTGCTGTGGGACACAGAGATGCGGAAAGGGCTTCAGTTCAGATGCTTTTCCAGTACTCAATTAAAATTCCCATGGGACCCAGCTGTATGTATTTTTAAATTTTTGGTGTTTACACACTATGAGATTTCTAGGGACCCTTAAAATGCCTCACTGTACTTGAGTTAGTTTCTGTAGCTGGCAGCTTAAAGATTCCCACTTTGAGCACCATGCTTATTTCAGCATATAGTCATTGGGCTCCTACCATAGCTAAGTGAGTATGTTAGGTGCTCTGAGGACACAGTTTCCTCTGCCTGTAATGCCCTGGCCCTATGACCTGCTGGACAAACTCTTGCTCTTCTTTTGATCACCCCCTCTCTATGAAGCCTTCCCTGACTGGTCAAGGCAGAAAGAATCAAGCTCTTATTTGTGCTCCTAAGATCGTTATACATACTTGCACTGCACTAATTTCAACATCGTGTCTTATTTATTTCTTTTTGAGACAGGGTCTCACTCTGTCATCCAGGCTGGAGCTCAGTGGCATAATTATAGCTCACTGCAACCTTTAATTTCTGGGCTCAAGTGATCCTCCCACCTCAGCCTCCCGAGTAGCTGGGACTATAGGCATGAGCAACTGTGCCCAAGCATTGTGCCATATTTAATATTTTATGTGTCTTAGTTCTCTGCAGGCTCTGAGTGACAAAGCAGACAATGCATTAGTCATTTTTGTATCACTGTGAACCAAGTCTATTTGACACATAGTAGGCCTACAATAAACATAGCAAGATTGATATATATATTTGATTCTGTTGATATGAATGGACTGGAAAGCTCTCTGGGCCTGTTCTGCAGGGCTGCTGCTATCCTCTAGGAGAACAGGCACTGCTCAGATCATCTCATAAGAGGGAAGCTTTCACGACGAATGCTGTGAGCCAACAGTCTCCAGCTGCAGCATGTTGGCCAAAGAGTTCTCTGGTGGCTTAAAAAGGGGAAATTATCCCTTGCATGGTATTTGAGCTGAGGAGATACACTCCTCCATTGGCTACAGCCAAGAACTGAGCATAAGGGTACATATGTAGGCACGGGAATAAGACTTTGCCATTTCTGCCCAACATGCATACCGCCAAAACTTTTTCAGAGCTCCATGGCAGTCTTCTGAGGCTCTTCCCACCACATCCTCCTTCCTTCCTTCTATCCTTTCAGGGATGATGGATTTGCATTGCAGTCTGAAGGTCACCCCTGCTGACTCCTGCTCCTTTGCTCCTATATTTTTCATAGGTATTATCCGCAGTGATTTGCTTGCCTTTCTTACACTGTCTTGATATCTGCATCTTTGAGAATCCAAACTGACACAGTTGTCACCAGAACTGGACCAAGAAGGCAAGTGGCAAGATGGGGTTTGGAAATTGAATCTCTGACCACCATCTGGCTATGGTATGTGGTTCATGGACAGTTCTTAGCATAAGGTGGCAGCCCAATTGGTAAAACTTTCAACAGTTGTGGACCTGGAAAATGTCCCAGTGGAAGGAATGCCCTTCCTAATGTGAAGACTCAGAAATTGGAAAGGTACATGGGACAATGCACACGGGACAGTGGGATTGACTCATTATTACTAAGTTGCCTTGACCCTCTACAGTGTGATAAAGAGAAACAGGGTAGTTAACAAACAGCTAAAAATTAAGCATGTTGGCCAGACAGCTTTATTGGTAGCTTAAAAAGAGGTCATTATCACCTGCAGTGGATGATTAGATACAGCTGAGAAACAAACACAGGATCCAAAAGTGAGGGTCACTTATGGGGAATTAAGAGGATGGTTGATTATACCTGAGAGCTGAAGGGCAGGACAGATGGGGAGCCAAGAAAGATGTTTCTGAATATATATGATTAAAACAGGGTGAGAGTGGAAAAGCAGAAAGCTGATGCTAGTTGCACTAATAAAATATCATGATCTGTTGCTCAATTTCTAGGCCTAACCCAACTTTCACGTCAGAACCTATTGAGTTAAGAGTTGGAGTAAGAATCATATAATGTCACAGCAAGTATATACTGCAAAGATTCCTCCAGGAATCTTTTCCAAAGGGACATTTGACCACTTACTTGGATGACTATACACTGGGGGAGAAAAGGGAATACTCATTTTGATGACTATTGGACACAGATAATGCATTGACATTGATACCCAATGATCCAGAGTATTATCCTGGCCCCCGTATTAGAATGGAGCATACAGGAACCAGGAAATAAATGGAAACAGGATTAAATCAGGCTTGCAGTGGGTCCATTTCTCGAGTCTCCAAGAGCATAACTGGGATTAAAATACGTGGCAGTGGAGTAACCTGCACCCTGGATTCTTGGCTTGTTGGGTGACAATTGTTGCTGTGCAGAATGCGAAGTGGAACTTTCTGAAACTGCCACCCCCTCTACCCATGGGCAAGAACAATATCACATTCTAGAGGGCAATGGCAGAGATTAGTGTCGCTCTTAAAGCTCTAAAGGATGTAGGACTGGTGGTACCTATCCTAGCTCCATTTAATTTGTCCATGAACCCTGAATAAATCAGATAAATCCTTGAAATAACTGTAGACTACCACTCAACCAAGTAACATTCCTGAATACATCTGCCATGCTGGGTGTTGTATTGTAGCCACTAAATGGGCAAACACATATTTTTATGCATCAGAAAAGAGGACCAAAAATTGCTTGCATTCACATAGAATGAACAAAAACCTTTCTTTACAGTTTTACCTCAGTGCTATGTTAACTCTGCCATGCTTGTTGATAATAAAATTCAAAGAGATATGGACCATCTGGACATACCGCAGGATATCATATTGATCCAGTACATCTGTGATATCATGCTAATTGGACAAGGTAAGCTAAAGCGACTACTCTGCTGGGGGCCTTAATACAATGATGTGCTTCAGAGGATAGATGATGAACTCTACAAAGATAAAGTAAACTGCCACTTCATAAAAGTTTTCAGGGGTTCCTTGCCAGGAATCCCGTCCAAGGCAAAAAATAAAAATAAAAAAAAAATTCTGTATCTTGCATCCAACTACAAATAAGAAAGCACAAATAAACAGGTTTTTTTTTTTTTTTTTTTTTTTTTTTTTTTGAGAAAAGGTCTCAGTCTGTCACCCAGGCTGGAATGCAGTGGCATGATCACAGCTCTCTGCAACCTCAACCTCCCAGGCTCAAGTGATCCTATCACTTCAGCCTCCTGAGTAGCTGTAACTACAGGCATGTGCCACCAAGCCCAGCTAATTTTTGTATTTTTTGTAGAGATGGGGTTTTGCCATGTTGCCCAGGCTGGTCTCGAACTCCTGGGCTCAAGCAATCCACCTGCCTCACCCTCTCAAAGTGCTAGGATTACAGGCATGAGCCACTGCGCCTGGCCCTGTAGGTCTTTTTAGTTTCCAGAAGTAACATATTCCATACCTACACATTCCTCTCCATGCCACATCCCAGGTCATAGGACAGGGTGCCAACTCTAAGTGGGAGCTGGAGCAGGAAGGGGCTCTGCAATAGGTCCAAGCTGTGGTGTGAACAGTGCCTCCTTTTGAACTCTGTCATCTAGTAGATCTTTTGGTGTTAGAGGTGTCAATGGTAGGAAAAGATGCAATGTGGAGTTCGTGGCAAGCCCCAAGGGAAGAATCACAATACAGTTCCCTGAGATTCTGGAGCTAGGCCATGACATCTACAGCAGAGCATCATGTACCTTTTGAAAAATACTTCCTAGTAGGCTATTGGGCCCTGGTAGCTGTGGAACACTGGACCATGGGATACTAAATGACCACAGATTCAGAACTGCCCCTCATAAGCTGAATCAACCAGACCTCCCAAGTCATAAAGTTGGGTGGACCTAGCAGCAATCATTATAAGTTGGGTGGGTGTAGCAGCAATTATTATAAGAAGCAAGTGGTATAGCCAAGATTGAGCTCAAGAAGAACTAAAGGAGAAATAAACTGCATAAGCAGGTAGCCAACCCACTACGGTTGCACCAGCATGCCATTTTCAGCTCTGCTCCACATATTTCTTATTTATCTGGGGTGATTGGGCTATCTGGGGCTTGTTCTTATGGTGGTGGATGAAGAGCAGATGTCAAGTCCTAATGTCCTGGCACATATTAAGCCTTGATGAAGTCTCGGAGAAGGTAGTGATTCTCTGCTGAGCAATAATCCAAGCTGTTCCAGTCTGATCTCTTGTTCATAAATATTCAGGTCCCTTGCACATATAAAATATACCTTACCAAGATCCCACAAAGTCTCAGCAAATTATAAAACAGGCTCAAAGTCCTTACAATTTTTATCAGATCTTATATCTGATCTTACAATTTATGTCAGACTGGGTATGCTCCTCTTAACCTAAAAATCTAGGTGCAAAAAAATGACAAGTTAATTGCCATGACACACCCAACATTAAACGGTTGAACAAGGACGGCACAACTACAATACACATCTCTGTTTAAAAAGGGGAAGAACAAGGAATGGTGAAGCCAATGATCCTTAATATTCTGAGTTTTTGCTAATTTCCCCTACCTTGAGAGTGAGAAATGTCCTTCAATTAGGCCCTAATTAATTAGGCCCCTGGGAAAGTGGCAGGTCCCATAAGATTGTAATATCATATTCTAGTCCACCATTGTCCCTAGCTCTTGGTTTCTCCATTTTGAAGTTCCTTCTCTATCCATCCAGCTCTTTGGCCATTTCTGAGGATAGTATGGGAGAACATACCCTTTTTGGTAGTTGAATAGCTATTTAAGTTGGCTTCCTGCTTATAGAAATTTGGAGGTCCAGAGATCTTATAATGTCTTTCACAGTCTTAGACTATTTTAGTCCAGGCTCGTAACACTTTTGCCAATACAACTCTCTCAAAAACATTATGGTCTTTCTTTTTTTTAATTTATTATTATTATACTTTAAGTTTTAGGGTACATGTGCACAATGTGCAGGTTAGTTACATATGTATACATGTGCCATGCTGGTGTGCTGCACCCACTAACTCGTCATCTAGCATTAGGTATATCTCCCAATGCTATCCCTCCCCCCTCCCCCCACCCCACAACAGTCCTCAGAGTGTGATGTTCCCCTTCCTGTGTCCATGTGTTGTTCTCATTGTTCAATTCCCACCTATGAGTGAGAATATGCGGTGTTTGGCTTTTTGTTCTTGCGATAGTTTACTGAGAATGATGATTTCCAATTTCATCCATGTCCCTACAAAGGACATGAACTCATCATTTTTTATGGCTGCATAGTATTCCATGGTGTATATGTGCCACATTTTCTTAATCCAGTCTATCATTGTTGGGCATTTGGGTTGGTTCCAAGTCTTTGCTATTGTGAATAATGCTGCAATAAACATACGTGTGCATGTGTCTTTATAGCAGCATGATTTATAGTCCTTTGGGTATATACCCAGTAATGGAATGGCTGGGTCAAATGGTATTTCTAGTTCTAGATCCCTGAGGAATTGCCACACTGACTTCCACAATGGTTGAACTAGTTTACAGTCCCACCAACAGTGTAAAAGTGTTCCTATTTCTCCACATCCTCTCCAGCACCTGTTGTTTCCTGACTTTTTAATGATTGCCATTCTAACTGGTGTGAGATGATATCTCATTGTGGTTTTGATTTGCATTTCTCTGATGGCCAGTGATGGTGAGCATTTTTTCATGTGTTTTTTGGCTGCATAAATGTCTTCTTTTGAGAAGTGTCTGTTCATGTCCTTCGCCCACTTTTTGATGGGGTTGTTTGTTTTTTTCTTGTAAATTTGTTTGAGTTCATTGTAGATTCTGGATATTAGCCCTTTGTCAGATGAGTAGGTTGCGAAAATTTTCTCCCATTTTATGGTTTGCCTGTTCACTCTGATGGTAGTTTCTTTTGCTGTGCAGAAGCTCTTTAGTTTAATTAGATCCCATTTGTCAATTTTGGCTTTTGTTGCCATTGCTTTTGGTGTTTTAGACATGAAGTCCTTGCCCGTGCCTATGTCCTGAATGGTAATGCCTAGGTTTTCTTCTAGGGTTTTTGTGGTTTTAGGTCTAACGTTTAAGTCTTTAATCCATCTTGAATTGATTTTTGTATAAGGTGTAAGGAAGGGATCCAGTTTCAGCTTTCTACTTATGGCTAGCCAGTTTTCCCAGCACCATTTATTAAATAGGGAATCCTTTCCCCATTGCTTGTTTTTCTCAGGTTTGTCAAAGATCAGATAGTTGTAGATATGCGGCGTTATTTCTGAGGGCTCTGTTCTATTCCATTGATCTATATCTCTGTTTTGGTACCAGTACCATGCTGTTTTGGTTACTGTAGCCTTGTAGTATAATTTGAAGTCAGGTAGCGTGATGCCTCCAGCTTTGTTCTTTTGGCTTAGGATTGACTTGGCGATGCGGGCTCTTTTTTGGTTCCATGTGAACTTTAAAGTAGTTTTTTCCAATTCTGTGAAGAAAGTCATTGGTAGCTTGATGGGGATGGCATTGAATCTATAAATTACCTTGGGCAGTATGGCCATTTTCACGATATTGATTCTTCCTACCCATGAGCATGGAATGTTCTTCCATTTGTTTGTGTCCTCTTTTATTTCATTGAGCAGTGGTTTGTTGTTCTCCTTGAAGAGGTCCTTCACTTCCCTTGTAAGGTGGATTCCTAGGTATTTTATTCTCTTTGAAGCAATTGTGAATGGGAGTTCACTCATGATTTGGCTCTCTGTTTGTCTGTTGTTGGTGTATAAGAATGCTTGTGATTTTTGTACATTGATTTTGTATCCTGAGACTTTGCTGAAGTTGCTTATCAGCTTAAGGAGATTTCAGGCTGAGACAATGGGGTTTTCAAGATATACAATCATGTCGTCTGCAAACAGGGACAATTTGACTTCCTCTTTTCCTAATTGAATACCCTTTATTTCCTTCTCCTGCCTAATTGCCCTGGCCAGAACTTCCAACACTATGTTGAATAGGAGTGGTGAGAGAGTTTTCAAAGGGAATGCTTCCAGTTTTTGCCCATTCAGTATGATATTGGCTGTGGGTTTGTCATAGATAGCTCTTATTATTTTGAGATATGTCCCATCAATACCTAATTTATTGAGAGTTTTTAGCATGAAGGGTTGTTGAATTTTGTTAAAGGCCTTTTCTGCATCTGTCGAGATAATCATGTGGTTTTTGTCTTTGGTTCTGTTTATATGCTGGATTACATTTATTGATTTACATATATTGAACCAGCCTTGCATCCCAGGGATGAAGCCCACTTGATCATGGTGGATAAGCTTTTTGATGTGCTGCTGGATTCGGTTTGCCAGGTCTTTCTCTATATTTGATTTTAATCAAATGTATGTACCAAAAATCATCACAACAATACTTCTTGAGAAACACCTTTCTTCTCATCCTTCGCCCCTACTTAGCTTTTAGTACTCTGTGATCATCAGGCTTCTGTAGAACTGCATCATTAGACTTTCTAGGGACACTTCTGTCCAGATAACCTTTTTTTTTTTTTTTTTTTTTTTTTTTTTTTTTTGAGACGGAGTCTTGCTCTGTTGCCAGGCTGGAGTGCAGTGGTGCGATCTCAGCTCACTGCAACCTCTACCGCTCAGGTTCAAGCAATTCTGTCCCTCAGCCTCCCAAGTAGCTGGGATTACAGGCATGTGCCACCACGCCTGGCTAATTTTTGTATTTTTAGTAGAGATTGGGTTTCCCCATGTTGGCCAGGCTGGTCTTGAACTCCTGACCTCATGATCCACCCACCTCGGCCTCCCAAAGTGTGGATTACAGGCGTGAGCCACCGCGCCTGGCCCAGATAAAAGTTCTAATATAGAACATCTTCATCCTTTGAGAGGTGTTTTTTTATTTTTTATTTTTTTGTTATTTATATATTTATTTGTTTATTTTTATTTATTTATTCTTTGAGACGGAGTCTTACTCTGTCACCCAGACTGGAGTGCAGTGGCATGATCTAGGCTCACTGCAACCTCTGCCTCCCAAGTTCAAGCGATTATTCTGCTTCAGCCTCCTGAGTAGCTGGGATTACAGGTGTGAGCAACCACGCCTAGCTAATTTTTGTATTTTTAGTAGAAATGGGGTTTCACCATGTTGGCCAGGCTGGTCTCAAACTCCTGACCTCAAGTGATCTGCCCATCTCGGCTTCCCAAAGTGCTGGAATTACAGGCGTGAACCACTGCGCCTGTCTGTCACCCTGCTGGAGACAGACAGAACCACCTGCTCTGTCACCCAGGCTGGAGTGCAGTGGTATGATCTCGGCTCACTGCGTCCTCCACCTCCCAGGCTTACGCGATTCTTGTGTCTCTCAGCCTCCTGAGTAGCTTGTGCCACCAAGCCCGGCTAATTTTTGTATTTTAATAGAGATGGGGGTTTCACAATGTTGGCCATGCTGGTCTCGAACTCCTGGCCTTAAGTGATCCACCCACCTGGGCCTCCCAAAGTGCTGGGATTAAAGGTGTGAGCCACCACACCCAGCCGAGAGGTGTTTTTTTTAAATATATAGATGGGGTCTTGCTCTGTTGGCCAGACTAAAGGGCAGTTGCCAATCACAGCGTCATAGCTCACTATAAACTCAAATTCCTGGGCTTAAACAATCTTCTTGCCTCAGTCTCCTGAGTAACTGGGATTACAGGCCTGTGTCACCATGCCCAGCTAATATTTTTATTTTTATTTTTTGTAGAGATGGGGGTCTCACTGTGCCCAGGCTGGTCTCAAGCTCCTGGCCTCAAGCAATCCTCCCGCCTTGACCTCCCAAAGTGCTGAGATTACAGGCAGAAGTCACCATGCCTGGTCCCTTTAAGGGGTTTTAATAAAGAGTGTTACAGGTTTAAAATCTTACTGAAAGTAGCCTGGGTTGGATTTTTCCCTGAAATTGTGTCATATGGGTCACATTTTGATTTGGTAAGAAAGAGTTTTGTTTTCCAACCCTTCTAGTTCTGAAATTTTTAGGCTCTTTATTTTTCCTCTTAATTCTGTTTGTACCCAAGCCAATTCTTTTCTGAACTTATTACTCTCTTGTATCTTATTCCACACAGTCAACAGAAGCCAGCTCATATTCCACACTTTGCCTCAGAATTCAACTGTACCATTTCATCTGGTACACTTTCTGCCTTACAGATTATCATGAGAGACATTTTACCAACGATTTCACCATCACCTAGCACAAGTCACCATTTTTCAGCTTCGTTTAAGTTTCCTTGAGCCATATATTTTAAGTTTTTGTTAACATAAGCACCTGCTTGTAGATATAAATTCCTGTATCAATCAGCTATCACTGCATAATAAACCATCCCCAAATTTAGTGGCATGTAATAATAAATGTCTATTATCTTGCTCACAAATCTGCAGGTCAGCCTGGGTGCCCTGCTTCAGATCGTGCAGGTTGGCTGTGATGGCTCATCTTCTTCCTTGTGCCTGTGGGTCAGCAAGAGTGCCTCTGCCCCACCTGCTACTTTCATTTTGTACCAGTTAGCTACCCAAGGCATGAGTAGTTCTTCCCATGACAATGGCAAGAGCCCAAGCAAACAAGCCCCATTGCACAGACACATTTTAAGCCTTTCCCCATGTCCCATTTGCTGACATTCCATTGGACAAATCAAATCACATGGCTAAGCCCAGCCAACAAGAATAGGGTGGGAAAGTATGTCTTCTCACAATAGAAAAGAGTTGAGTGAGTATTTTCTGAATGATAATCTGGACTATCATGCGTATGGTAATTTGGGGAAGTTTTACTAGCAATATACATGGAGTATTTGAATGTGGAGGTTGAGTATTCCCTATATAAAATATTTGGGACCAGCGGTGTTTCAGATTTTAGATTTTTTTCAGATATTAGAATATTTGCATATTCAGTCAGGCACCACATAAACATTATTTGGTCTATGATAGACCACATATGCAATGGTGGTCCTGTAAGATTATAATAACATATCATAATACTCATATTTAATGATCTGTTATAATTGCCTAAAGTATTCAGTACAGTAACATGTTGTACAGGTTTGTAGCCTAGGAGCAATAGGTTATATCATGTAGCCTATATGTGTAGTAGGCTATGCCATCTAGGTATGTATAAGCTCTATAATATTTGCACAACAAAGAAATTGCCTAACAATGCATTTCTTAGAATGTATTTCCATTGTTAAGCGATGCATGACTGTACATAATGAGATATCTTGGAAATGATACCCAAGTCTAAATACAAAATTCATTTATGTTTTATATATACCTTATACACATAGGCTGAAGGTAGTTTTATATAACACTTTGAATAATTTGTGCATGAAACAAAGTTTGTGTACAGTGAAGCCTCAGAAAGCAAAGGTGTCACTATCTCAGCACCTACATGGACAATCTGTAGTTGTTTGGCATTACCATCATTCCTGACTCTGAATTTATTTGCTACTGATAAGCAATCATTTTCTTACTCTTATTCTCACATAAGTACTTAACAGTAAAAAACATAACATACCATTAACACAGAGGAAAAAAATAATGTATTCAGGGTAACCAAGCAGCACAGTAGAGTCACCAGAATACCTGCCTCAGCTGCTAAACAACAGCAGCAACAAATAATGGCAGGCTTTCACTCAGCACCTATAATGCCGTGCTTTAATTAAAAGATTATTGTACACAGTATTTTATTTTTTTAGATAAGAAGAAACATCAGAAGCAGTTGAGGAACCAGGAAGTGAGTCCCCTAGGAATGAGGAAGCATTCTGCTAGATAGCTTTTTAAAATGTTTCCTCTATACATGAAAACTAAACACCTTGCTTCCGAATGACTTTTGGGTAAACAATGAAATTAAAGCATAAATAAAAAAACTCATTAAAAGAAATGAAAATAGAGATGTAATGTACAAAAAACCTCTGGGATATGACTAAACAGTGTTAAGAGGAAAGTTTGTGGCACTAAATGCCTACATCAAGAAATTAGATCTCAATTAACAACCTAACGTTGCACCTAAAGGAACTAGAAAAACAAGAACAAATTAAACCCAAAACTAGAAGAAAAGAAAGCACTAAAATCAGAGCAGAACTAAATGAAATCGAGACCAAAAAATCCGTACAAAGGATCAACAAAAGGAAAAGTGTTTTTTTGATAGATAAGCAAGATTGATAGACCACCAGCTAGGAAAATAAAAGAAGATCCAAATAATCACAATCAAGAATGACAAAGGCAGCATCACAACTAATCTCACAGAAATATGAAAGACCCGCAGAGACTACTATGAATGTCTCTACGCATGTAAACTAGAGAATCTACAGGAAATGAATAAATTCCTGGAAACACACAACCTCCAAAGATTGAGGGAGGGAGAAATTGAAACTCTGAGCAAACCAATAATAAGTGACAAAACTGAATCAGTAATAAAAACTTATTAAAAAAAAGCCTTGGACCAAATAGCTTCACAGCTGAATTCTACCAGACATACAAAGAACAACTACTACCAATCCTAATGAAACTATTCTAAGAGAGGAGGGGGGCATTCCTCTCTAACTCATTCTTTGAAAGCAGCATCATCCTGATACCAAAATCTGGCAAGGACACAACAAAAAAGGAAAACTACAGGCCAATATTCCTGATGAACATAGACACAGAAATCTTCAACAAAATACTAGCAAACTGAATCCAATAACACATCAAAAAAATAATTCATCATGCCAAGGGCACTTTATTTCTAGGATGCAAGGATGGTTTAATATATGCAAATCAATAAATGTGATTCACCACATAAACAGAATTAAAAATGAAAACGATATGATCATCTCAGTAGACATAGAAAAAGCACTGATAAAATTCAACATTGCTTCATGATAAAAACCCTCAAAAAAATAGTCATCAAAGGAACTTATCTCAAAATGGTAAGAGTCGTCTATGACAAACCCACAGCTAATATACTGAATGGGTAAAAGTTGGAAGCATTCTCCCTAAGAACTGGAACAAGACAAGAATACCCACTTTCACCACTCCTATTCAACATCATACTGGAAGTCCTAATCAGAGCAATCAGGCAAGAGAAAGCAATAAATATATAAATAGGAAAAGAGGAAGTCAAATTATCTCTGTTTGCTAATGATATAATTGTATACCTACAAAACTCTAAAGACTCCTCCAAAAGACTCCTGTACCTGATAAATGACTTCAGTAAAGTTTCAGAATTCAAAATCAATGTACAAAAATCAATAGCATTCCTATATACCAATAATGTTCAAAGCTCAAGCTGAGAACCAAATCAAGAACACAATCCCATTTACAATAGCCACACATACACAAAAGATATCTAGGAGTACATTTAACCAAGGAGGTAAAATATCTCTACAAGGAAAACTAGAAAACACCGATGAAAGAAATCATAGAAGACATAAACAAAAAGAAAAACATTATTCTATTCTCATGGAATAGAATAATCAATATTGTTAAAATGTCCATACTGCCCAAAGCAATCTACAGATTTAACACAATTTTTATCAAACTGCCAATGTCATTTTTTACAGAATCAGAAAAAACAATTCAAAATTTGTATGAAACAAGAGAAGAACCTGAACATCCAAAGCAATCCTAAGCAAAAAGAATAAAGATGGAGGCACCACATTACCCAACTTCAAACTATACTATAAGGCCACAGTAAACAAAGCAGCATGGTATTTGTTAAAAAAAAAAATAGACACATAGACCAATGGAACAAATTAGAGAACCCAGAAACAAAGCTGTATATATCTACAACCAACTAGTCTTTGACAAAGTCAACAAAAATAAACTATGGGGAAAGGACAACCTATTTAATAAATGATGCTGGAAAAACTAGCTAGCTATATGCAGAAGAATGAAACTGGACTTCTACCTCTCACCATATAAAAAATTAGCTCAATATTACATTTGTAATGTAATCTTTAAATGTAAGTTTTACATTTAAAGATGTAAATGTAAGACTTCAATCTGTAAAAAATATTAGAACAAAACCTAGGAAATACTCTTCTGGCCTAGGCAAAAATTTATAACTAAGACCTCAAAAGCAAATGCAACAAAAACAAAAATGTACAACTGGGACCTAATTAAAGTAAAGGACTTCTGCAGGGCAAAATAAATTATCAATAGAGTAAATGGACAACCTACAGAATGGAAGACAATATTTGCAAACTATGCATTCCACAAAGGAATAATATTCAGAATCTATAAGGAACTTAAATCAACAAGAAAAAAAATCAAATAACTCCATTAAAAAGTGGGCAAAGGACACTAACAGACAATTCTCAAAAGAAGACATACAAATGGCCAAGAAGCATATGAAAAAATGCTCAACATCACTAATCATCAGAGAAATGTAAATTAAAACCACAATAAGTTAGCATCTCACACCAGTCAAAATGGCTCTTATTAAAAAGTAAAAAATAACAGATGTTGTCAAGAATGGGGAGAAAGGGAATGCTTATACACTGTTGGTGGGAATGTAATATAGTTCAGCCCCCATGAAAAGCAGTTTAGAAATTCCTCAAAGAACTAAACAAAAAACTACCATTCCACCCAGCAATCCTATTATTGGGTATCTACCCAAAGGAAAAGAAATCATTTGTACCAAAAAGGCACCTGCACTCACATGTTTATCACAGCACGATTCGCAAAGGCAAGGACATGGAATCAACCTAGGTGCCCATCAATGGTGGATTGGATAAAGCAAATATGGTACATATACAGCATGGAATACTATGCAACCATAAAAAAACAGTGAAATCACGTCCTTTGCAGCAACACGGATGGAGCTGGGGGCCATTATCCTAAGTGAATTAATGCAGAAACAAAAAATCAAATACCACATATTCTCACTTGTAAGTAGGAGCTAAACGATGGGTACATACAGACATAAAGATGTAAACAATAGATTCTGGGGACTCCAAAAGGGAGGAGGATGACAGGAGGGAAAAACAATTGAAACGTAACTTATTTGGTATTATGGTCACTCTTTGGGTGATGGGATCAATAGAAGACCAAATCCCAGCATTATATACTATATCCGTTTAACAATACTGCACATGTAGTTTCTGAATCTAAAATAAAAAGCATGTTTCCTCTAGAGTTATAAGACTCTTCAATGGTTTCTGTCTTAGAAGTCTAAATGCTGATACCAATAGTTGAACAACAGTACAAGAAATGGTTATTATAGGTCAATATCTCTTATGGACATGGATGCAAAAGTTCTAAACAAAATATTAGCAAATAACATCCTGTAATGGATTAAAAAGATGATATGTGATTACCAGATCTTGTGTTAGATCTCTTTAATACAAGATTAGTTTAACCTTAGACCATCAAGGCCAGGTGTGGTGGCTCACGCCTGTAATCTCAGCACTTTGGGAGGCCGAGGCGGGTGGATCACAAGGTCAAGCGTTCAAGACCAGCCTGGGCAACATGGTGAAACCCCGTCTCTACTAAAAATACAAAAAATTAGCTGGGCATGGGGGCAGGCGCCTATAATCCCAGCTACTCAGGAGGCTGAGGCAGGAGAATCGCTTGAACCTGGGAGGTGGAGGTTGCAGTGAGCCAAGACCGTGCCACTGCACTCCAGCCTGGGCAACAGAGCGAAACTCTGTTGCAAAAAAAAAAAAAAAAAAAAAGCCATCATTTACTATAATTCAATGCATTAATACATTAAGAAAAAAATCAAAATCATATAGTTATTTGAATAGATGTAGATGAGTGTTTTATGAATTCTACACATTTACATGATTTTTAAAAAACTAGAAAATTAGAAAAAGAATAATTTATTTAACAGTTAAGTGAAAGCCACAAGAAACCTCAAATTAACTGTTAATTAATGGCAAAAAAATTGACACGTCAAGAGTGTTTATTCTTACCGCTTGTATTGATCATTGCACTGAAAGTCCTAGCCAGTACCGAAAGGCAAGAAAACATAATAAAAAGTAGAAGAATCTGAAAAGAGGAAACAAAAGTGTGATTTTTCACAATTATATTATTGTATATGTAAAAAACCTGCAATGATCTAATGTGTTTGAATAAAGAAGAGAGTTAAGCAAGGATGTTGGATATAAATCAACATACAAACATTAATTGCATTTCTATACCAGCAAAAAACACTGAGAAAATGTAATTTAAAAAAATACATCAATTGTTCTGGCTTCTAGTAACAGTAGAAAAACTTGGCTGCATTAGTCTTTCATTAGATAACAATTAAAAATATGGGAAAATATTTTTAGAATTATCTAAGTTTTTAGAGAAACAGGAGTATTACCAAATACAGGAAGAAACTAATGAGGAATCAATGGTATAAAAATTAACTGTGAAGGATATATTTTAGTTTGTGGCATTCTCCAATGCAACAAATCCCAATGTGCAGAAAGCCACAGTCTTATTGGCTTAATGTGTTAAGGAATAGAAATTGAGACTGGTAAAAAAGGTAGAAAATTAGGTGAGAAATCCTAGAAGATAGAGATCCACAGAGGAATGAACCCTGAAATCTGCACATAAAATCCACCTAATTCTTTGGCTGACCATTAACTCTCTTTGCATAGAGAAAATCCCAGAAGGAAGTGTGACAAATAAGAAAAAAGAAAACAACACACATACATTGCAGGAGAGACAAAATTTGGAGTTTCAAGTCCAGCATATTTAACAAAAATAATTCTTCAGGGAAAAATAACAAAATTCAGACTCTATACATAAATTTTTATAATGTCCAGTATTGATCAATTATCAATACACATGTGCAAGAAATAGAAAAATGTGACCAATAACGAAGATTAAAATAACTCAAAAGACCCCAACTCCAAGATGATGCAGATGTTGCAATTAGAAGACAGAGACTTTAAAGCAGCTATTATGAATATGTTTAAGGACTTAGAGGAAGATATATTCATAATGAGCAGATGGGGCATATAATTAGAGAAATAAAACCTATAAAAGAGAACAAAATGAAAATTTTAGAGAGGAAAAATACTATAAAATGAAAAAGTCACTAAATGGGTTTAATAGCAGATTGAAGGTGGTAGAGGAAAGTCAATAAACATAAAACTAGAACGTTAGAAATTATACAAGCTGAGAAATGGAGAGGAAAATATTGAATAAAAAGAAACAAAGCTTTAGAAACCCATGTAACAATATTAAGCAGTTTAATATATGTGTAATTGGAGACCCAAAAGAAGAGACAGAGAATGGGGCAGAAAAAAAATGTTTGAAGACATATTGGTTGAAAACTACCAAAACAAAATAGATAATTCAAAATAAACCCACAATGATACAGTCAACTGATTTTTCATAAAGACACTGAAGTAATTCAATAGAAAAAAGTTTTTTGGCCCTGTGCAGTGGCTCATGCCTATAATCCCAGCACTTTAGGAGGTCAAGGCAGGTGGATCACTTGAGGTCAGGAGTTCGAGACCAGCCTGGCCAACATGGTGAAACCCCCATTTCTACTACAAATACAAAAATTACCTGGGCATGGTGGCATGTGCCTCCACATGCCTGTAATCCCAGCTACTCAAGAGGCTGAGGCAGAAGAATTGCTTGAACCGAGGAGGTGGAGGTTGCAGTGAGCCGAAATCATGCCACTGCACTCCAGCCTGGGTGACAAAGCGAGACTCCACCTTACCAAAAAAAAAAAAGAGTATTTTCAACTATTGTGCTCAGTCAACTGAATATCTACATGGGGAAACAAATGAACTCCAAACACTTACCTCACCATACAAAACAAATAACAAATAGATGTAAATTTAAAAGCTAAAATGTAAAGATTTTTGAAAAAAATAGGAAGATATTTTCTGAAGTTAAACAATTTCTAGCCAGGCATGGTGGCTCACGCTTGTAGTCCCAGCACTTTGGGAGGCTGAGGCAGGTGGATCACGAGGTCAGGAGTTTGAGACCAGCCTGGCCAACACAGTGAATCCCCATCTCTATTAAAAAATTCAAAAATCAGCTGGGCATGGTTGTGCACACCTGTAATCCCAGCTACTCGGGAGGCTGAGGCAGGAGAATCGCTTGAACCTGGGAGGCGGAGGTTGCAGTGAGCTGAGATCGCGCCACTGCACTCCAGCATGGGCAACAGAGCTAGGCTTCATCTCAAAAAAAAAAAAAAAAATTCTTAAATATTGAAAACAATGATTACAAAAGGAAATAACTAATAAATCAGATATCAAAATTAAAAACATTTGCTCATTGAATTAACTGTTACATAAATAAAAAGGAAAGGGACAGACTGGGGAGATATATTATCTCATGCATAGAAAAAACACCCAGTGAAACTAGATTCAAATTAAGGAGTTTGATTTTTCAAAGGGAAATAAAAATTGTTAAGGATACAACATACAAATTGAGTGAAAGTTCTGTTACACATATAATTGTCAAATAATTAGTATATAGAATCTATTAAAAAAAGTATCAAGAACTACCCAAACATCCATAAAAATGAATAAACTACAAGAAGATAAAGATAAAGAACAAGAAATGAAGAAAACCATAAAACAAAACATTCAACCTCATTAGTGGGTAAATGCTAATTGAAACCATAAGGAAATATTTCATATTCAATAGATTGGCAAAAATTTAAAAGTTTGACTACTTCAGGTTTGGCAAGGATGTGACTTCAATCAGAACTCTTATACACAGTATGTAAAAATGAAAATTGGTGCCAGTTTTTTTTAACTTAGAATTATCCAGTTTACTTAAGAATACATATAGCTTTTGACCTAGCAACTCTATTCCATGATATACACCTAGAGAAACTCTGGTCCATACCATAAGGAGACATACATAGGAATGTTAATCCTAGCATTCTTTGTGATAAAAATAAAAATACTAGAAACAATCCAAATAGAATGGATAATATATTGCTGAATAAATGGGATACTATATACCAGTAGAAACAAATGAACTATAGCAATTTACAGCAACATAGATGAATCTCAGGAATATGAAATTGAACAAACAAACAAAAAAGCAAGGCAAAGAAATACACAGTGTAATTCCACTTACATAAAGTTAAAAAACATGCAAGACTAAATAATATACTGTTTAGAAATAAAAATGTATGCCATAAAACAATAAAGAAAAACAGAAGATCAATAAACAGAAAAAACAGGTTCTAAGAGAATAGGGAAGTAGATGAGAGTGGTGATGGGCACACAGAGGAATTCCATGATGGGTAATGGGAATATTCTGTCTTTCAGACTGGCATATGAGTAGGTGGATGTACAAAAGTATACAGAAGTATATGTATATATTCATTTATATTCATTCAGTAGTGAATAAATATGAAAATACATCTCTCTCTCGGTAATGTTTATTGACCTCATGGTGTTCACCACAATTTTGGAAGTGGGATATATGCCGTCTGAATCCCAGCTCATAGACCAGTTTATGCTTCACCCTTGTTCTCATCTTTGAGTCCTACTTCCTCTTCACAGCCTCCATTCTCCCTTATCAACATAAAAGGAAATCCTATGACCAGTATTTGGGCATGATCAGGAAAAATGATAGGAAAGTACTTACAAGTTAACTTAACCTTTTCTCTCCATGTGTTTGTTTTGTGGTATGTTTATTTTTGAGGCTCTCATTAGTGGTTTAGTGGCTCCTTTACAGAAACTGGCCAGCCAGCACTTGACAACTCACACTAGGGTGAAGGCTTTCGAATTCTTGGCCCCAGGGTGTACTCCTTAGCACCATAAGGGTCTTCTTTAGCATACAGCCTCAATAGATAAGGTCTGCATAGTAAATAGGGCAGTGAGAAAGAATAATTTATATTATTAGGAATGTCCTAAGGGAATGTAGGTTATCCTACAAAGGAAAGGTAGGTTATCACTGAAGATCCCTGTTTCATAGATAAGGAAATACAGGGATTAGAAGATATAAAGGTGTTGTCCTGGATAATGAGTGGGCGGGGAATGTATGTCAAGAGGTACTGACAGCAGATATCTGCCTCTTAAAGAGGGTCTGTATGTACCATCCAATTTTATGTCTTCCTGATCATGCCCTCTCCCTGACCCCCCACTGTATGTTTAAACAGGAGAGTCCTGTCTGTCTTCTCTGCACTGGGAGCAGCTCTCCTGCCATAGCCCCTCACCCCGTAAAAATGTATGCCTGCTCCAAATTCATCTCCACTCCCTCCTTGGTCAAGAGCACCTCACAGCTGCTGAGCCATCCACTATCTGCAGTGGTGTTGAAATGACCGGAGACAATGGCAGATGAGAGTCTCAGCAGCTTGGCAGTCTCATGTCCCCTTACCTCACTTGTCCCTAGCTGCAGCTTCCAAACTAGTGCCATTTCAAGGGACATAGACATGGCAGCCAAATTCATTGGGGCTGGGGCTACCACAGTTGGGGTGGCTGGCTCTGGGGCTGGGATTGGGACTGTGTTTGGGAGCCTCATCATTGGTTATGCCAGGAACGCTTCTCTGAAGCAACAGCTCTTCTCCTATGCCATTCTGGGCTTTGCCCTCTGGGAGGCCTTGGGGCTCTTTTGCCTGATGGTGGCCTTTCTCATCCTCTTCGCCATGTGAAGGAGCCGTCTCCACCTCCCATAGTTCTTTTTTCCATGTCTGATGGGCCCTGTGTGTTCCTTTTCCTATACCTCCCCAGGCAGCCTGGGGAACATGGTTGGCTCAGGGTTTGACGGAGAAAAGACAAATAAATACTGTATTAATAAGAAAAAAAAAAGTAAACAGGAGAATGAGACCAGCATGCACCCCTGCTTGGGTAGTCAATGATATACTGGTACAGACAGTGGTAAAAAGAAAACAGCAGTGATGCCAGGGGAGTAGTAGAAAGTGGTAGAAATTATTACCAAGAGTGAGAAGGGGATTGTTCACCCACTACTTTTCTTTGGACTTGTATATCTAGGAGTATGATATTCAAATGAAAAGGAGTAGAACAAATATAGCCAAGGAAGAATTAAATCCCAAGAAAGGGATGGAGCATATCAGAGAAAACCTTGATGCCCAAAAGACTCAAGGTCCCCAGATTCAGTCAGTCACTGGAGTTCTGAAAGGACTTGTGTTGCTGCTTACAAAGCTATTTTCCTACATCAAGGACAAAAATATCAACGGCCCATGCCCAATAAGTTGGAGAACCGCTTTACTAGAAGTTCACTAGAAAATATTAGGTGTTTTTAGTTGACTGCAAGCTGAAAACAAATAAGGCACAATAAGAAGCACTGGAATGACTCATAATCTTACACTGTGCTGATGTAAGTGTGATGCTGAGACAAAGAAAGTCGAGTCCCACTCTGTTTATTTTTGGCGTTTTAAGAGAAACATTAATAAGCTTTAGTGTGCTAAAGGAGAAAAAACAGATTGCTGGGAGTACTGCAGACAATGCCACAGGAGGAATAAAAGTGCTGGCTTTGTTTATAACCATGGAAAAAGATAAGCCTTAGCCACAAGGAAGGAGCCCCATAGCTCTCTTCCAGCGTTTCAAGCACTGCAAAGTACAAGAGTAATGAGACTTTTTCTGCATAGCTTCAGAGGGCGGAACCAAGAACAATGCTTAGAAGTTAAAGGGGAGAAAATTCCATTCAACATAATAAATCTGACAATCTTAGATTTATATAAGGTTGTGTAATCCACAAATACGCTCATGTGCATCATCTCACTTTAGGAAGAACTCCTGAACAATTGATGATAGAGTGAGCTGCCAGGCATGTTTAAGCATAGACTAATGAATCCACTAGACTAGATGAACTTAAAGATTGTGTCCAACTCAGGCTGTGAATCAACCTAGAGGTGCTTCCAAGTCAGCTTCTAAACTGAGAGGAAACAGGGAACAAACGCAATAACACCTGCATCAATTCATCCTTGTGTGTCTCCGTTTATACTTTTGAAAAAGGAAAAAAGTGAAAAGACAAGTTTGTCTTTACCACATGGGGAACTGGTTGAGTTAGACATCTCATCCTTTAAGATATTCAAGGGGATATTGGCTGCCTGTCTTCCTGGGGAATTCTGCACTGGGTAAGAAGATGGACCACATGCCCTGAGGTTCCTTCTAACACCAAGACTAAGGGAAAGCTGTATTTTATACTTGGCTCTACTACTTTCTACACTGACTTTGAGAGAGCCTTGTTTTTCACTCTCTGGACCTCAATTATCTTTCCTATTACAGGAAGGTATTGGACTCTGTGACCTTTAAGAGTTTTAGAGAACTCACATTCTAAAATTATAAGATTTTATAAAGAATATGTGGAAGCTTCATTCTTCCACATTCTCTAAGAAAAATTGATCCTGAGTTCTGGTCCTAGTGAGATTATGGTGGCAGTGTAGTTTCTTAATCTTTTCAAAACTCCTCCAGAAAACCAAACAGAAAATTAGAAATAGTGTAAAAATATGCCTAGATTATATATTTTTAAATACTAGGTGATAGGAAACATCTCTAAACCCTACAGTACTGCTGTAGTCAAAACCACATGTAGAAATGGCACCTAAAGGCAATCCGCTGTGGAGTCGTGGCAGCAACTGAGCAGGGTAGAAACACTGGGGTTCAGATGGTGCGAGGTGGCAGAAACAGGAAAAGAGAGTGGTGGGCTCAATGCAAACCTTTGACAAGCCCTGTAAGCTATAGAACCCAAGATCACCCATGAAGACTCACCCTTAAAAGAAGGCCTAATCTGGAATAAAAATCTGTGTGGACAAGCCTGAGAATAACTGTGAAACTACTATTCCGATATGCTCAGAGTTGCAAGTGAAAGCAGGAGCCTGCAGACAGCATCACAAGAGACCTGAGAGTGAGGCAGTAGAGCAAACCCTGGATGATTGCCAAAATATCCAATAATATCCTTTTCCAGAGGGGAAAACCGCCAGAAGCAGACACGTTGAGCCGGGCAGTAACTCTGGACAGTTGAGATGGTAAGCGGTGTGGGGAGGAGGTTGTGGGCCCAAAGGAGTCAGATCCCGGGAAGTCATGTAAGAAAAAAATAACTTGTCTAAAGGGGAGAGCTCTGGGAAACATAGAACTGAAGGCAGGAAACCTTCTTGGCCAGGCGTAGGCCTGAGAGATGGATGGGATGATGTATTTTGAGTCCTTCTTAATAACAAGAAAAGATGAAGCTGAGAGAGTGACCCTAGTTCATCCCCTGGCCCCCACTGACCAGGAACTGTCCCTTAATAGTCTAGGAAAAGCCATTTCATTTAAACAGGGAACACACAGAAAAAAAAATAGTCTAAATAATTCAAAGTTATTATTTAAAAAAAGGTAATAACGAAATAAATAACACCAGAAAAAGTGGACACAAAGCAGATGAAAACTATAACATTCTGTTTCGGAAAAACACCCGAATCAAATTTTTTCTTTGCTCTCACGCCACAGCAATGAACACAAAAGAAGACTTCTATGGCCAAATTCTTTGGGGGGGGGGGGGGGTTCCCCACCGACAAACAGTGGACACCAAGTAATTCAATTCTAATTCACCTCAAATTCACCTCTAGTTCAATTCCCACTCTAGCTACCTGGAGATAGCATCGGATCCCACAGGCTGAGGGCTCAGACCCCAAGACTGCCCCCGCCAACACACCCTTGTGGCAGACACTCCTTGCTGCAAATCTGAACTTCTGACCTAATGGCTTCAAGTTGGGGTTCCCACGACCCCCTCTGGGTTCGATTAACTTGCTGAAGCAGTTCAGGGAAACACTTAAGTTCTTAAGTTTACCAGTGTATTATAAGGTATATTACAAGTATATCACTAAAGATCCCTGTTTCATAGATAAGGAAATACCGGGTGTTTTTCCTGTTTCATGGAGAAGCAAATACAGATGAAGAGAAGCATAAGGCAAGGCACGGGGGAAGGGGTGCGGAGCTTCCACGTCCTCCCCTGACATAGCACCCTCCAGGAACCTCCACGTGTCAGCTATCTGGAAGCTCTCTCAGCCCTGTCCTTTTGGGTTTTTATGGTGGCTTCATAACATAAGCATGATGGACAACTATGTAGACATGTGATTGGGCAAAAAGTGCATGATCTAAACCCAGAAGGCCTGTTTGCCCAGACTTTTTTTTTAGGGTGTGGGGCAGGACCCGCTCTGAATGAGAGTCTTTTAACCCATAATCAGGATAGAGTCCTGCCTTGGGCAGGTGAGAGGAGGACAGGAGGTTAAAGAGAGAGATTCTGTTTCTCGAGGCCTGTTCCAGAGACATGAAGCACCCCAGATTATAAAAAAACTGTAACCAGAGTTACGGAGTCATGATCCAGGAATGGTGAATGAAAACCTATATACGTGTGTTTATATATAAAGTATATAAAATCATAATATCATAGATGCAATAGCAAAGTGAGAGAAAATAAATTAAAAAATCAATAGACACTTTGAAAGAATAGTATAAACCAGAAATAGAAGAAATAGTTAAATAGCCAATGGCTATGAATTGAGAACTTACAGAACTCAGGAAAGTTATTTTAAAAAATACACTTATAAATAAAGACTAATAAGTAGCAATACATGGGAAAAAGATACTATGGAAAAATACAGTGAGAAAAATCAAAAGATAAAAAAGGAAAAATGAAGGAAATCAAACAGAAATAAAGGAAAAGATAAAAATTATTTGAGAGAAAATGAAGGATGAGAAGACAAGTAAATATAAAGAAATAATGAAAAAAAGGAGGATCCAACAAAATAGTCCCTAAGGAAGGAAAACGAGTATTAAAATTATAAATCAGGAACAGTTTGCTGAAATAGAAGTTTTAAGATTTACATATTTATTTTAACTGGAGGAATCAACCCATAACAGTTATCACCAAGGAAATCCTAATAAAATAACTGAATGTTAAAAGTTAGAAAAAACAAAAACAAAAACAACCTCTTTGGGAATTCAGACAAAGAGACCAAGTCATTTTAAGAGATAAAAAATCAGATTTGAATTAGATCTCTCAGGTCACAGCTATAATCCCAGCGCTTTGGGAGGCTGAAGTGGGAGGACCACTCGAGCCCAGGAGTTCAAGGCTGTAGTGAGCTATGATTGTGCCACTCCTCCATCCTGGGTGACACAGTGAGACTCTGTCTCAAAAACAAACACACATAAAAATCAGAATTATCAACAGCATCATTTTCTGTTAAAAAAAAAAAGAGAGAAGGACTGGGTGTGGTGGCTCATGCCTGTAATCTCAGCACTTTGGGAGGCTGAGGCAGGCGGATCACGAGGTCAGGAGATCGAGACCATCCTGGCTAACATGGTGAAACCCCGTCTCTACTAAAAATACAAAAAAAATAGCCGGGTGTGGTGGTGGGCGCCTGTAATCCCAGCTACTCGGGAGGCTGAGGCAGGAGAATGGCGGGAACCCAGGATGCAGTTGAGCCACTGCACTCCAGCCTGGGCAACAGAGTGAGACTCCGTCTCAAAAAACAAAACAACAACAACAACAACAAAAAGAGAAATATTTTAAATGATTTCATGAAAAGAAGATGAGAATCAAAGGTTGTATGTGTTAACAGGAAAAAGTCCAGCATTGTGAACTGCAAGATCTCATGGAATGTTACTCTCATGAGTTGTTCCTGAGAAATTTACTGGAGAATGAGCTCCAGACAAGCAATAAGTAATTCTAGAAAATTCAGTACAAGTTTTCAGAGATAAGTGTGAATGTACTTAAATGTAGAATAACAACCTGAAATTGGAGATAAGAATTTAAAAAGTGTACTGTTGATGTGTGCTTTGACAGTGTCATATAATAAAAACTAACAAAAATAGGACAAGAAAGGGGTGAGTAAATGGAAAGAAGAGTAATCTTACAGATTGCCTGATATGTGCTAGGTGGGAGCAAGAGGATATTGCTTGAGTCTGACAATGGAAGTAGTTGAAGCTTGAGTTTTCTTAAAATTTTTCATTAAGTTAATACTAGAGACAATGTGGATAGTGGGAAGGGAAGAGGGGAGAAAAAATGATTATTGGTTGAGATTTTATAGAAGAAATTAGAGTATTAAATAATGATAACCACTAGAATATAAAAAAACTTTCTAAATTTCTAAAGAAAGAATAATTATAAAGCAAATCACAAAGTAAAGCACTTTGCATGCATATTGTATATGTCTGTGAGCATAAAAAGTCATAGACATATGTAAATATGTAAATATTTATGGATACAATTGGCATTTTGGTAGGTCATAAACAATAGGCTATTAGCAATTACACATGATTCAACAAAGAAATAACATATAAAACAATATGTCAGAACTGAGAAAAAATACTGATTATATTAATAAATGTAAATGGACTTTACTTACCTATAAAAGAAAAAAAAAGTTGATCTTAACAAAGCAAAATCTAACTCCATGGTGTTATATAAAACATATCAAGGAAAAAAAGTGAATCAGAAAGGCTAAGAGTAAAAATATACATGAAGATATATCAGTCAAGTAAAATAAAAAGAAGGCAGAGGACATGATCTGAATATCAGAAAAATATAGATTTCATGCCAACAAACATTGAAAGACATGAAGGCCATTTAATGAACCTAAATAATACAATATACAGTAAAGATGTAATAGTCACTAATATCTTTACAACTTTTACAAACAGAAAACATAGAATATGAAAGACAGAATGGACAGACACAATTAACAGAAGATTTTTATAACACTTTTTCAAGACAGTGAGATTAAAAAATATTAAGAATATAGAAGGCCTTAAAAAAAGGTGGTTCAGATAGCTATACATTGAACTCTGAATCCTGATAGTAAAGAATATACTTTTTTTCCTAGTGCTTTTGGTTATTTGTAGACATTTACTGTACGTTAAAACACAAAGAAAAACCTCAGTTAATTTTAGAAAATAGACATAATAATCCAGCTCTTTTCCCTCCAAAATTACCGTTAAACCAGAAATAATCAATAAGTTATCAAAACTCTTTCTTTTTTTTTTTTTTTTTTTTTGAGACGGAGTCTCGCTCTGTCGCCCAGGCTGGAGTGCAGTGGCGGGATCTCGGCTCACTGCAAGCTCCGCCTCCCGGGTTCACGCCATTCTCCTGCCTCAGCCTCCCGAGTAGCTGGGACTACAGGCACCCGCCACTACGCCCGGCTAATTTTTTGTATTTTTAGTAGAGACGGGGTTTCACCGTTTTAGCCGGGATGGTCTCGATCTCCTGACCTCGTGATCCTCCCGCCTCGGCCTCCCAAAGTGCTGGGATTACAGGCGTGAGCCACCACGCCCAGCTCAAAACTCTTTCTTAAAGACTCGAGTTAAATGGAAAATACAAAGTAAAATTGTAGAATTTCTAGAAATGTATGTAATAATGGAGATATTATATATTTGAAAAAATCAAGAACTAGTGAAAAAGACTACTATAAACAATGATAGAATTTGGTAAAATTGAATACAAAATCACCTGATATAAATTAATAACCTCATTAAATATGACCAATAACTAGTTAGAGGTTTCAATGGAGGAGATAAATCTATTTACAATAACAACAAAAAATACTTATGCATAAACTTAACCAAATTTGCAAAACTTATAGAAAGCTTTTATACATTTGTTAAAGATATAAAGTAGATATAAACAAACTGAAAGCTATGCCATCAAAAAAGATGAGAAGGAAGGATGGATAGATATAGTAAGTACAGCAAAATCTTGACACTTGGTCAATATGGGTGAACAGTATAGAAAAATTTATTATGTTATCCTTTTTGTGTTTTTGAATTTTGAACATTTTACAATAAACTAATTTAAAATAGTTAATCTCAGTATTGCAAATAAAAGTATTTAGGTTCTAGCTCTGTGATATTAAAGCCCACCTAGATATTTAAATAAGTTAATTAAAATGATTTGATTAAATTTCTATGGTCAGACTTACTTAAGGTAAATCTCTTTGAAATCTCTTATTAAAAAATTAATTGTACATGAATATTTTGGACACTTTAAAGTGATAAATATTTTTCTCTACTCTCCACAACTCTGCCTATGGAGCCAAATGAGGAGTCATATTTCTCATTCCCTCAGCTTCTAAGGACTAGATAAGGCAAACTGTGACGCAGAAAGATAATTATGCAGACTGCTAGAGTTATTGCTGGAAGTGCTTCAAGTTCTCAGCCTGAAAGTTGTCTTCACAGACCATCGTACTCATACTCTGACTTCTAGATGGGGTAATGGGGAAGCCAGGTAAGTGTATTTAACCTTTTGTCTTTTCTCCAAAGTGTTACCACTGAAAAAGTAAACCTGCTCAAATAATCTTCAAAGACAAATTTGCACCACATTCCATGCTTATCCTCACTGAAAATTTCAGATAAACAATTTTACTTTTTCTCAGAGTTAATGCTTGCTATTCTTGAAATAATAAGTACTAATGCTTTTATAATCACCTTCAACAAACCAAACCAAAACAAAACAACTGAAAACATGACATGAACTGAGTTCTTCGTGCCTACTGTTCCTACTGGACAAAGCTCAGCCTCCTCACCCTGGCATCCTAGCCACACTATCCCCAACCTCCAGGGTATGGTTCCAATATTTTTTTCATTGATATTGTTTAACATAGCTTGGCTGGTTTCCTTTAATCCAAACAAACAACAACAGAAATTGTAAAACCTTGTATTTGCTTAAAGTTATTTAGTTCACAGAATATGAGTTTTTCAATATATTTCTCATTTAACTCCCACAAAAGCCTTAAGAGCTAGGCATTATCTACCCTCATTTTTAGAATGGGCAAAGTGGTGCTGGAGGAGTTAGAGCTTTGCTCAACATAGTAAAGCTAATAAAATTATGATGAAGCAAATTTTTTAAAATTTTAAATGCTGTGTTTATCTCACAAAAATATGTTACCACTAAACTATACACTCATTCCCATCCTTTCAAACATTCTGAATTGCACCTGTTTTAATGGCACATGGCCAATGGTTTAATAAATCACGCCTACATAATGAAGCTCCAATAAAAACTGTGGATACAGAAGCTCTGCTGAGCTTGCTTGATTGGTAATAGTCTGTATTGTCACCCACTGATGTATTATAAGTGTGATACATCCTGGTCTAATTTTGCTACTAGATTCCTTTCTTCAGGAATCCCATCTTCTTACCCATCCAAGTCTCTCCAAATTCTGTCTGTCCTTCAAGATGTGGATATGAAATTCTTCTTGATCTCTTGAGGCTTGTGTGCTATCTTTCTCTCCTCTGAATCAGCAGAGGGCTTTCTGTGTGTGTTTGGACACTTATTACATTCTGCCTTGAGTTGTGTTATTCTATGCACACTTGTCTTGCTGGTGAGGGTCTATGTCTTACCCATCTTTCTATACCTTCCAAGTTGCACATTACGAGTTGGCACATAGTAGGTATTATACTTAACAAATGTTTCAGAAACTACATGGAATTTTGTTTATTATGATTTAAAGACTTGCTTTCTCTCTAAAAGAGAGTTCTTTCCTTATAATAGGAACTCATATAGTAAGTAGAAACCACTTTTATAATAAGTAGACAGATTCATGTGAAGTATGAAAGTGAAATAATATTGCTAATAGTAATAATCAGTGACATAATAATAATGGTAATCTTACAACCTTGACTCATGAGGTTATTCCCTTTCAGATTATAATAATTCATATATCTTTCTAATTTATTTTCCCAATATGCCTGTAAGCCAATTATCAGTATAGTGTTATGAATGGAAACTTAAGAATCAGAACTTTGGACTCACAGTTGTGGTTGAGTGACAGCTCCTCCAATTACTTGAACAAGTTATTTAACCTCCTGAAATCTCTATCACCTCTCCACTCTTTACAAAATAGAGATAATAAAATGACAAAATTTGCAAGTTTATGGTGAAGAATAAATGAGATTAAGTAGGCAAAGTTCTCAGCACAGCATCTGGTGCATAGTAAGCACTCATTAAATGGTATCAGTAATTACTGCTGTAAGTGAAAAGAATGAGATGTAAAACCCAAGATGATTAAGTAACCTGCGTGAGAAGATATAATAAACTCTAACTAGAACTTGAGTTTTTGCTTCCTGGATGACCTCATAATCTCCCACCAATCCCATTCCTCTGTCCCTGTAAGGATTTGGCTGGGTTTTGTCCCTAGTTTTGTGGAGGTAGCCTCCAAACCCTTGGAATTTCCTAAGTAATAAGAGTGTCTTTGCTATTAATGGTAGGTCATGATAGGTTTTGCTTATGAGGTGACTCAGGATAGGGCTGTAGGTAGTTTATGTTAAGGAAAAGACTCGGGATGGAGGCTGGTCATGACAGAAAGACCAACCATGAGATTATAGAGGCTTTCAGCTACCTTGATATTGAACTAGTCTTTAGGGAGGAAAAGACTAGAGATTGAGTCATATAGTCAATGGTTTAATCATTTATGCCTGAATACTGAAGCCCCAGTAAAAACCATGGACACCGAGCTCAGCTGTGTGTAATACTCTGTATTATCACTTATCAGGAGGGTGATGCACCCTGAATGCATGGGAGAGGACAAAGGAAGTTTCACATTTGAGATCCTCTCTGACTTTGCTGTATGTGTCTCTCCTTTTGGCTGATTCTGATTGATTTGTATTCTTTTGCTATAACTATAATCATAAGTAGAGTGCTTTTCTGAGTTCTGTAAGTTGTTCTGACAAATTATGAAACCTGAAGAGATAGTGATAAACCCTGAATTTATAGGCAGTTGGTCAGCAGGGAGGAAGGCCTGGGGACTCCAGAATTTGCAACTGGTATCTGAAGTGAGAACAGTTTTGTGGAGGGCTTTGCCCACAACCTGTGAAGCTTTGTCTGGCTCTGGACAGTTGATGCCAGATGTCCCCTTCACCAAAAAACCTCAACAGGAAGATCAGGTACACTTCCTGTTGAGTCAAAAATGAGATTTGTTTAAAACCTATAACATTTTATTTCTTGTGGTTTGGATGCAGGTGTTGAAATGCGATCATATTGACTCTATACATCTTATTGTTTAGGTAACATTCATATTGCAGTAAAAAGGATGCAACAATGATCCTGTGCAAAATGATTTCTATTTGGCACTAACCTATTATGGACTCTTTTCTTTCCAAAAATCCTTCTCCAATCTTCAAACAAATTAATTCATCTGCTCAGTGAGAGGAGGAAACCAAGCAGAAACCTCCGCCGTGAGGGGTACAAGGGGGCGGTTCACGAGGACAGCTGGAGTGCATATGTTGTGGCTCTCGACACCCTGCTGGGGAGTGTCTCTCTCGCCAACAGTATGGAAATCATAATTAGCACCCTATAGCGACTCAGGGCTTCAAACCCACCGAAATCTATTTGCAGCGTTTCACAACTTACTGAGAACAGCATCTCTCGCATTTAGGTAGCTGCCTCCCGTCTGCTGTCTGCTCTGTTGGCCCTAATGTATTTAGATAGATTCTTCTTCCATGAGGCAGAGCCCAAGTTCATTAGAATCATGCGTTCTGCTTCAAAACCTCCCTTAATCTCCCTAGGTGCTCTTTGGGCTTTTCCAGTTGTATTCACTAACCTTGGACGGGTATTTAGGAACAATGCTAATGTTCTTAAATTGCTTTGCAGTTTCCTCTCCTGGATTATTCCGGCAGGCAAAAGAAAGAAATACCAATTAAGCCCCAAGAGCCATTTTGCAAATGCTCTTTCCCTTAAACCAGGGAATGTCTAACTGTGAACCCAAATGGAAAAGATGCAGGATGGTGCTGTGATGTGTTATGCATGTTGACTCTTTTCTTTCAGAGGGATCTAATCTTTTGGAGTGGGCATTAGGTAATGCTTTCAATGTAGTACTCAAGGCCAAAAAAGAAAAGAGAGACACTTTTATACATTTTGGATAATAACATGTTGGTGTTTTAAAATACTCATCTTAAAAGGGTATTTGTTATTCATTATGTACAGTGCATTTCAGAGTTCTGCTCTCCATTAACCCCTTCTTTGAGCAGACAGCAGATAGTTTGAAAACATTTCTGTTCACTAAGCAAGCCTCAGATTGAATTTTGAAACCTGCTTGGATATTGGGGTGACTTGTGGTGCTATAGTAGAGCACTGGTAAATAGTAACATTGGCAGCCTCCAGAAGGGGAACTAAAAGGCTTGGAGACAGGAATAAAAGGTAGATATTTTGTGATCAATCTTGTGTTTTGTATCATGTGAATATATTGCCAATTCAAAACACACACAAGAAGTATATAATTTTTAAGCTGAACATGGTGAAATATGCCTGTAATCCCGGCTACTTGGGAGATTGAGGTGGGGCAATCACTTGAGGTCAGGAGCTTGAGGCTGCAGTGTCCTATGACCCTGTCTGTGAATAGCCACTGCACTTTAGCTTGGGCAATATAGTGAGACCCCATATCTAAGAATTAATGAACGTGTAAATAAATAAGACCATTTTAAAAACCTAGAGAAAATATTTTTTAAAAGGTAAGAAAAATGGTGCAGCTGCTGTGGAAATAATATATTAGTTCCCCTTAAAAATTAAACATATAATTACCATATTAAAAAAACATCATATAATCCAGCAATTTCATTCCTGGGTATATATGCAAAAGATTTGAAGATAGAGACTCAAACAGATACTCTTATACACCCATGTTCACAGCAGCTTTATTTAAAATAGCCAAAAAGTGAAAGCAACCCAAGTATTCACCAGTAGATAAATAGGAAAACAAAATGTGATGTGTGCATACAATGGAATATTATGCAGCCTTAAAAAGGAAGGAAATTCTGACATATGCTATAGCATGGGTGAACCTGGAAGACATTATGCTAAGTGAAAAAAGCCAGTCACAAAAGGACAAATATTGTGATTCAACTTCTTTGCAAAACCTAGATTAGTCTGATTTATAGAGATAAAAAGTAGAATGCTGGTTGCCAGGGGCTGTGGAGAGGGAGTAATGGGGAGTTGGTGTTGAATGGGTACAGAGTTTCAGCTTGGGAAGATGAAAAAATTCTGGATATAGACGGTAGTAATAGTTGCAGAACAATGTGAAGGTAGTTAATGCCACAGAATTGGACACTTAAAATGGCTAAAATAATAAGTGTTTTTATTTTACCACAATAAAAAAGAAGAAAAAAGTAAGAAAATGTGTGATCATCCCCATTGATTGCGATACCCACGTTCCCCATTTCTAGCGAATCTGACAGGCAACCTCTGTGGGTCTGTCACTCTTCTGTTCCTGGGACTTCAGCAAGTGCTTTTCATGCCAAGTGGTAATAAGTGCTCTGGTTGAGATTAAAGTTGGGGTGACATGATTGCTGGATGGAGGTGTTAGTGGAGGGGATGGTAATTAGGAATATTATAAGTAGATTGCAAAGAAATTATGCTTTTTGGATGTTTGAAGAGTCATCTTGCTGCAGAATGGTCATATGGACTTCATCCCCTGGTGCATTCAGTCCCAAATTCTATGAACTTTGCCTCTTAGCCCAAGTGAATATTCCACCAATTTTCCTATTGCTATAAAAATATAAGGTGACAGCAGTCACTACAGAGCTAAGAGACCATACGTCTTATGCCGTATGGTCCCTTTTGCGGCCTCCCTACTTGAGAGTGCTGAAGAGGCAACACATTCTGACACCAATTCTCTGATACCAACTGTGTGTCCTACAATTCTGTTCAATCCTGACACCAGCTTCCCAAGTTAACATCATATCCCACAAGTTAAAGGGCAAGGTCCCCAACAAGACCCCAACAAGACTGCCCTTTCCTCAGATGCTAGTTGCAAGTGGAGTCCCAGGCTACCCACATTTCTGCCCAGTCAACTACAAATTTGGGGTTTCTCTTATGAGAAACCCCAATCATTCATCCTGAGGTTGAATAATTTGCTAGAATGCCTCACAGACCTCAAAAGGCATGATGCTTACAATTCCTGTCTTATTATAAAGGATATAAATAAACAGCCAGATAAAGAGATACATAAAGCAAGATCTAGAAGGGTCCAAGGACAGGAGCTTCTGTCCCCATGGAGTCAGGGTACATCAGTGAGAGAGGGTGCTCTCACTTGATGATCTGTTGATCAGTTTTTATCTGGGGTTTCATTAAGTAGACATAATTGATTGCATCATTATTCATGTGATTGAACTCAATATCCAATCTCTCTTCTCTCTCTGGTGTTTGGGGATAGGCCCATAAGTTCCACTCTCTAAATCATGTGCTTGGTGTTTCTGGAGTGGCCAGCCCCTCTCTTGAAACTAAGACCCCCACCATGAGTCATCTTATTAACATAAACTCAAATATGATCAAAAGGACTCTTTGTGAATAACAAGACACTCCTATCACTTAGGAAATTCCAAGCGTTTTTGAAGTTCTGTGCCAGGAACTGGGGGACAAAGATTAGATGGATTCTTTATTATATCATAGGTAGAAATAACTCCATCTTGATTTCTGCAGTTAATGCCTACCTAACGATCATATAGTTGGCTATATTGTATCATGAATAGTGAAGAAACCAGTTTTTCCAGCTCTCAGCAAAGAAATGTCAAGAAAGCATGGCTGCTGTTGGTTTAAGATCTATAAGGTAGAAATACCATTTGACCCAGCCATCCCATTACTGAGTATATACCCAAAGGATTATAAATCATGCTGCTATAAAGACACATGCACACATATGTTTATTGCGGCACTATTCACAATAGCAAAGACTTGGAACCAACCCAAATGTCCATCAATGATAGACTGGATTAAGAAAATGTGGCACATATACACCATGGAATACTATGCAGCCATAAAAAAGGATGAGTTCCTGTCCTTTGTAGGGACATGGATGAAGCTGGAAACCATCATTCTCAGCAAACTATTGCAAGGACAGAAAACCAAACACCGTGTGTTCTCACTCATAGGTGGGAATTGAACAATGAGAACACTTGGACACAGGGTGGGGAACATCACACACCAGGGCCTGTCGTGGGGTGGGGGGAGGGGGGAGGGATAGCCTTAGGAGATATACCTAATGTAAATGACGAGTTAATGGGTGCAGCACACCAACATGGCACATGTATACATAGGTAACAAACCTGCACATTGTGCACATGTACCTTAGAACTTAAAGTACAATAAAAAAAAAGAGTACATATATGAAGATATTGCTGAAAAAACAAAAAAAACAAATCCACCACAACAACAAAGATCTATAAGGTAAGATGTGAGGTAAGTCTATCCTTGACTCCCCAGCTATTGAGCAGCCAGAGGATATGGATAAGAAGCCGCTCGATTCAGCCCTTTGAGCCTTTGTTTCTGCTGGTGAGCTCTCGGATCACCTTCCCTCTGATAACTCTTTAAACATCAAGTAGCTGTTTAAAGCAACGTTTTCTTCTGTTCTTTTCCCTTTTTCTTGGTCAGTGGATTAGCCAAGATTGATTTTTCTGCATGGCTGGGGAAGGCCTAAGGTTAAAAGATAAAAAGGTGGATTCCTTTTAAATGTAATTTAGATTTTTTTTCCCCTGGCATTAGTTCTGATATCAACCACAGAATCACGTCAATGTTCCAGAAACACCTGGGCCCTAGCTACAGCTGCTGGGGTAGGGCAAACCTACACTTCCAGCATAGCACAGCTGGGGCGGTCTAGGCAGATTTGCCATCAGGTGTCATTCTCTCTCTCTCTTTCTCTCCATCTCCCCCTCCAGCCCCCAGCTCTTTCTGCCACCCTACCCATTTTTTTCTCTCTTCTTTTCTTTCTCCTATTCTGCTTGCAAAATGCAGCTAGAGGACACACATGTTTATTCTACTCCATTGTTCTTTCAAGTCAGTGTGTATTTATCTTTTGCAAACTAAAGAGCTCAAGGGAGAACTGTTTCTGAGTCTACCAGATGACAAAAAGAGCCAATCGATTGAGTCGGAAAGCCTGTCAATTCAGCGGAACATCTTTGGCATGAGTGGTGTGTGAACAAAACAGGATTCAATTTTCCACTTTTTGCCAGGTTTCTCTTTGGCAGTGAGTAGACCACATCCAAATGCTATGCCAGGTGCAATAAACCACCCTCTTCATTTCTAAGTGGCTATCTTTCCACTTCACCTTAAAGTGGATACCAGTAAGCCTCTGTATGTTAAGTGTAAATGAGTGGTTTTATAAATAATGTCCCTAAGGACTGGAGACTCCCTGGAGCTTGAGGCAGAGAGTATGGGACAATGGTAGGAAGGAGGTGATGTGATGTGACATAGCCAGAGAATTGGAGAAGTTGGGGATGGAGAGAAACTGTTATTCAATGGATGGGGCTAAGCAGGGAAAGAATATTTGAAAAAATAAGAGTGAGAACTTGAGGCATGGCCACTGCAAGCTGGATAATGCTTAAGATGGAAGCATTGGCCAGGTTCCCACACTGTGCATAGCCCAGTGGCTTAAAAGGTCTTACGCATTTGTGGCCTCAGGAAATGGCAGTGTGACATCACGACACTGTGTTTACATGGGATATGGGGGCAAGAGATGGGGGTCTGTGCCCTACTCTGCCATTCCTCTTCTTCCTTCTTTCCTCCCTTTCATCTTTCTTCATTTAATTATTGCTAAGATTGTAAGGGACTCTTGAGTAATATTTACATGTGTCTTAGCCACATTCAGTGTTAAATTCAAAGAGTTGGTTTCAATCCAGCCAGCCAGTGCAAAAAGCTTCTAAACGCCAGGATACGATTTCAAAAAGCTAGCAGGCTGGTAATTCCCCATCCAGAACCCTCCACCACCATTAGGTCAATAGATGGAGGTGGGGAGAGAGTTTGGACAATCTATCCAACCAAAATGAAGCTACAACAATAAAACAAAATGGAAGCCATTATATGAGTAATAATAGAGACAGACATTCGCAGACAAACTGGCCATAAATGCAAGAAGGAAGAACCGGAGAACTGAGAATGAAGGAAAATCTGAATTAGTCAGGATTTTCCTGATTACAAGGGGTAGAAACCTATCTTGACCAAGCTTAAGTGAAAAGGAAGTTTATTGGTTGATCTCATTAAAAAGCCCAGGATTACACTGACTGCAGGCACACTGGAGGCTCCAATGCCACCTGGTGTTCCAATGCCACCTGGAATGACACATCTTTGCTCTTCTCTGTATTAGCTTCAGTTTCAGACACACTTTTGCTTGTAGTGGCAAGAGAGCCCCCAGCATTTCCAGACTCAAACTCCATCTCACTAGTACCAGGAAAAGTTCCAGGTGGGCTCCCATTGGATCAATTTGAGCCATGTTCCTTCTCTGAACTAATTACTGTGGCCAGGGGAATAGGATGTCTTTATGGATCATGCCTTAGCCAGTTGTTCACCCCTGAAGCCTGGAGTGGGGCCAACCACACCCAAAGTACATGGTCTGAGAGTAAGCAAGAAATGATTCCGCCAGGAAAATCAGGAGTCTTCTTTACAGAAGAGCAAAGATGCTGGCAGGCAAAAACAACAGATGTCCACCCCAGATGCCAACAAGAAGCCAAAGTCATAAAACTGAACCAAGTACAGTTATGTACCGGTTTCTGGAATCCACCAGGAAAGGGTCAGATCTATATGAGGACTCAAGGTGTAAATGACAATTGCCCAGACGGCATTCTATATAAGGGTCTCTTTTTTAATAAATGTTTCAGGCCCTCCCTGGCCTGCTCCTTAACGCTTTAGAAAGAAACCTACTCTTTCTAGGCCTGACCCCAGAAACCCTAGTGCAGAAAGGGATCCCTTTGTAGAATGCAAGAGTGTCCTCCTGCCTTTCACTTTTTCATTCTCACAAAGTCTGGTCTTAAATCTTCACCCAGGCTAGACTCCTCCCCACCACATACATCTGTTTCTCCATTGATGCTACAGAGTAATCAGAAAGGGTCATTGGTATTGCTGTTCTGGTGAACATATCCATTGAAACAGATGCGTAGCAGATACCTGGGGCAGGAGTGGGAGTTGAGCAATGTGGCCCCGGCATAACTAGCATGAAGAAAAACCAAGGTAGAAGAGAAGAAGTGAGGAGCTGCCTAACAGGTTATATTTACCAAAATGTTTAAAAGGAAGGAGGAGGAAGCATACTTATTAGAAGATCTATCTCCATTTAAACAGCTCGCAAAATTAGCCGTCTCACCCATATGCCAAACACTGACAAAGAAAACACAACAGTCCTAGCACAAAAAAAGAGAGAGCAGAGCTGCAGTCTCAGGCTCTGAGAGGGCTCATTATCAAAGCTCTGTCTCCATCCTGTTGATATCAATCCTGGCAGGGCACCGTGGCTGCTGCCAGTGGAGAGGAAAAAATTACCCAGGCTGACGCCTCCAAATAATTGATAATTTGCCTCCTAAATGAACAAATCAAGTAAGATTTAATTGTTGGCGGGGACTGCCATCCAGGAACAGCAAAGTATATAATTGCTTAAGCATTACATATGGCTTTCCACGCATCCCCCCTCCCTCCCCCTTTCTTTTTATAAACCAAACATAATTGTTTAATGACATTGATGGGGAATAGACTTGTGACATTAAAAATGACACTTATGACATAACTGTCAGTTGATGACAGCTCACTGACAGCGCCAGTGAGAAATTAATCATTTTAGATGCTTTATGGTTTGCTCATTTAATGTCACAAATAAGATCTTGCTATCTAACCACATATAATCTCTCCCCGACAACCAACTCTGGTCCCTCTCCAGGGACAGTTTGGTTATTATCCTGCCTCTGGTATGGGGGCTGGCTGAGTGGGGCCTGGGGTAAGATTTTAGGAATAGTTGGTGGTGGGTTACCTGCAGGGAGGGGCTAGAAATTCCCTGGGGAAATTTGCACCTGAGCGGAGTCCACATTTAGTTCTCTCACTTGCCACTTGTTTAAGGAAGCTTTCAGGGGGAAAGAGCTAAACTGTTGGGACTGATTCTAATAAAGACAGAAAGCTGAGGAAGTAGAGAGGCTATTTTTAGCTGGTTAATGGGGAGTAAATGGGGCCACCCTGTGATATGCTAAGATATGCCTTGTGCTCATTGCTGACTGGTACTCCCACACTCTCTGCTGGGCAGACATCTGTTAATTGCTTTCTGTTGGACTTCACTTTGACATTTGGAGAAATGGAAGGAGACTACCTAACTATTTTCTCCCTAAACGATGTCTCTGTGGAGCTTGGGAGCAAGGGAGGAAGGAAGTGAGGTGAGTTGGAAGCTTGCTCTCTGCTCGAGTTTGCTAAAACCTTCAACACAGTGTGCCCAAGGCACTTTGGCCTGGATTTTATTGAAAACCCCTGTGTGGGCTCCAGACAATCCGTCACTGAAGTCTTTTCTTCCATGCTGCATTGGCCTGTGGTCTATTTAATCCGAACACATGCTTATCTCTCTACCCACCTTTCCATACATTTTACTAATCTTGTAAATAGATTCTAAAAAAATAATAAAATAAACTTTCCAATTTATAACAAAAAATGTTCTTCATCTCGTTGTGCATGCATCAGTGCTTTCTTGAGGAGGCAGCTCCTGTCACCAAGCAGCAGAAGGCTAAAAATCAAGCTTCCTAGGGTGAAGGTGGTAGTTTCACTCGTACGTAATCTTACCCTGCCTTTTCTTTCATTTAGACACCTAAGTTGCATTTGTATTTGCATTTAGTTAGGTTTAGCTATGTGGTGTAGTGCAATTAATGGCCACTAGGTGGCAACAAAGGACCTCTTGGCCTGATTATTGGCTGTAGGCAGTGACTGATACAGGTGAAATGAGCCTGCCTTCTGTTATAACAGTACCAGTGAAGACTTATTTGATGCTAACCACCTGGCAGGCACCATCATAAGTGCTTGCTTCTTATACATTAACACTTCGATCTGCAACAATCCTGTGAGTATTACAGAGATTAAGGAACTCACTCACATACCTAGCAGTTGGCAGAGCTGAAATTTAGCTTCGGTTCTGACTAATGACAAAGGCTGTATTCTTAGACTGCACTTTACTACACCCTTAAAAAATACCCTTCCAGTTTGGGGAAGAAGTTGAATAGCCAAAACAAATGCCTCACCATCACTGAGCTCTGAAGCTTCCTTCACATAAAATAAGAAGAAAAGGACACAGAAAGAGCAAATTTATCAAGGTACACAGACTCTCAGAGTTGGACAATTCTTGACCCTGTAGCCTAGGCTCCCATCCAGTAGAGGGGTCTCCCTGGCACAGCCCTGAAAGAAGATCACATGGTCTCTGCCAGACGACTTCTGGGAACTGGTCGCCAAATGAAGGTGGCATGAGTTTCTTCTCTGTCTGCTCATGGTGACTTTTCTTTCTAAGAAGAGGAATTCAGAGAGAAGAGACCAAAAAAAAAAAAAATCCGAACAAACAAATTCATAGCCCCTATCCATCAAAGTAGCTCTAGGGAACAATATGGATATGATGGTTAATTTCATCTGTCCACTTGACTGGACTGTGGGGTGCCTAGACACCTGGTCACATATTATTATGAGTGTGTCTGTAAAGGTGTTTCTGAAAGAGATTAACATTTGAATCGGTAGACTGAGGGAAGCAGATTGTCCTTGCTAATGTGTGCTAGCCCCATCTGATCTGTTGAAGGCTTGAATAGAACAAAAAGGCTGACCCTGCCTAGAGTAAGAGAGAATTCCCCCTGCCTGCCTGACTGCCTTTGAGCTGGGACATCATTTGTTTCCTGATGTTGGATTCAGACTAAAACATTGGCTATTCCTGGGTCTTGAGGCTGCTGGCATTTGGATTGGAACTTACAACATGGGCTCTCCTGGGGCAGCTTGCCACTCCAGATCTTGGGACTTAGCCTCCATAGTTGCATGAGCTAATTTCTTATTTTATTTATATGTAATATATACTATACATATGAATATACAATATATAATATGTATTATACATATGAATATATAACATATAATATATATTATACATATGAATATATAATATATATTATACATATGAATATGTAATATATATGAATATATAATATATTATACATATGAATATATAATATATATAAAATAACAATTAGCTGTATATCATAATATATAGAATTATAATGTATATTACATATAATATATATATAATACGTATTTTACACACATGCACATACATATCCTATTGGTCTATTTCTCTGAAGAACACAGACTAGTACAAAAGGTCAACCAAAAAAATCTAAATTATAAAAGAATGAAAGCTGCCTCCTTATTATATGTAGTGCGTGGTTAAGCAGGAGGGACTCTGTTGTCAGACCACCTGGGCTTTAGTGCTGGCTCTGCTCCCTCCTGTTTGTCCTAGGAAGCTTCAGTGACCTCTTTATAAAGGGGATAATCATAAATGAGATGATGCAGATACAATTCTTTGCACAGTGCTTGGCAATTAGTAAGTGTCTGTTACTTTCCTCAGGTATTTGTTATTTCTTTCAATCAGTTACCAAGCAATCTTGGCAAAATAACTTACTCTACTTTTTTCACAAATGAAAAAACCTAGAGGGGAAAAAATAGGCATAACTCTCCTCTTTTTTCTTCTTGGAAGGGATGCATGAGGTCAAAATGGATTAAAAAAGGGCCAGGCATGGTGACTCATGCCTGTAATCCCAGCGCTTTGGGAGGCTGAGGCAAGAGGATCACTGCAAGGCTCATGACCACTGCAAAGAATCATCATTTAGTCAGTAACCGCTTCCAAAGGAAAGGAGAGAAGCCTTCCTGGAGAGCCCAGCCAGTGCAAACAGCAGTCATTTCTGTGTCACAGCTCTCGGCTTATTCAAACAGGAAAGTGCAGTGGAATGCAGACTGCCAGGGAAAAGCATTCTTACAATATAATGCACATAGCTTTGTGGGCCTCCCTTAGTTTTAAAAATTATTTCTTAAGAAAGAAAGAGGCCTCCCTGGTGTAGATATAAAATTCTTTTAGGCCGGGCACAGTGGCTCACGCCTGTAATCCCAGCACTTTGGGAGGCCGAGGCAGGCAGATCGCTTGAGGTCAGGAGTTCAAGACCAGCCTGGCTAACATGGCAAAACTGTCTCTACTAAAAATACAAAAATTAGCCAGATGCAGTGGCGCGCGCCTGAAATCCCAGCTACTCGGGAGGGTGAGGCAGGAGAATCACTTAAACCTGGGAGCCGGAGTTTGCAGTGAGCCAAGATTGTGCCACTGCATTCCAGCCTGGGTGACAGAGCAAGAGCTTGTCTCAAAATAAATAAGTAAATAAATAAATAAATAAAATTCTTTCAGTGGCACCTGCACCTAGTAAATAGCATCTGATGGAGGAGACTCAAATGCCAGTGCTGAACTTCTGAGCAAGTGGGTTCTCCTCCTTCAGTTCTTGACTCTGTCTTTCCCTCTCCACATTGACATCACTCACATTGCTGGGGAGTTTGTACACTCTCGTGGCTTCAGCTAATCCCTCTCAGAAGGAAACTAGAAGACCTTCCTCTGCATGCAACTCAACAACTGGACATTTCCACCCAGATGTCCAACTATGGCCTAGAACGCTACATTCTGAGGTACCACTCCCTGTTCCTCGGGGCTCCTGGGCTAGACGGTTTGAGCTGATCTTGACCACACCCCTCCCCTTCATCAGTTCCTGCCATGGTTTGCTCTCAGCTGTCTTTCAGGTTTACTCTTCTCTCTGCATCCCCACAGCTCAGGTGTTTCAAGCTGCATGTCCAGGTGCCTTCAACAGCCTTCGGGAGGCTCCCTGTTTCTCACCTATCTTTTGTCAAATCAATCTTTTAAAATACTCCTTGTGCCTCAACCTTCCCTTGCTCCAGACCCCACAGATACTTCCCACTGCCTGCTCCCCAGGTACAAGCTTCTCAGCCTGGATTCCGTATTGTGCTCCTTTTCAGTCTATTCAACCATTATGCTATTTTCCAGCTTCAGCCAGCAGGCCCCTGCCTGCCCTCCAGCTCCGTGATGTTCCACCATCCCCCTTTGCACGTGCATTCAGCAGGTGTGTAATGAAAGCTGGAGGACTCTGTGCGTGTTCTCTACTTTCCCCTTTCCCCGCTGGCATCTACCACCCCGCATAGCCCTCCAAACCACTCCCACTTTATCTGCATTCTGATCCCATTTCTTCTTTGTAATTTAAATTTTAATTACACAAGTGATATAATGTTCTTTAAAAATAAACTTATAGAGAAGACTAAAGTCCCCTTTATCAGTTCCTCCAATCTTCCTCCTTCCCCCTTGCCCAGGTAGCATGGCTCAGTGCTTGAGGAGTATACTTCCAGGTATGGCTTTTTTTTTTTTTACATTTTCATATATATTTATATATGCTCATTAAGTATCTGTAGAATTTATGTTGTACGTGCCAATTAAAAATATCAATGGCATCATATATTTACATT